>NC_000001.11:235275030-235426545 GCF_000001405.40 Homo sapiens | reverse complement strand
AAAAGGAGAGGGGAAAAGCAGTGAGGGTAACTTTGATTTCTGAAGCACCTAAGGTATACACACAAGCCTCACCCCAGCACATGACCTTCTATGGGGCACCATTACCATAGGAATCTCCAGATAAATAGCATCTACAGGGCAGAGAAGAGGGGTCAACTTGGGACACATGTGCAAAAGCGCATGACTTAGGAATTGAGAGGGTGTCCGGTAGCCTGGAAGCAGTTGTAACAGTATCACTCCAACTGCCCCTGATACAGGGATTCAGAGAGGATAACACAGTGGGGCTGGAAAAGCAAAGCCGACAGACAACACAAGTGGAGGTGAGGGGCTAGGTGCAGGTGCAGCACCATCAGGAAGGGGCACAGCTTAGCCAGGTCCCCGCAGAGAAAGACAGAGGAGCTTGCAGCAGGACCGGGCCAGCTACTGGAGGAGCTACACTCTCATCTAATATGTGTATGTGTGGAAATTATTCAATGCACTCGTCTATTCTGCAAGTAATTATTTAGGGCCAGGAGCATCGCAGTGAGCAAAGCAGAGTGTCATCGGGGAGAGACGATCACGACACAGGGGCCTCAACAGTGTGTCACAGGCAGGCCTGTCTGTGCTCAGGGACAGAGCAGGGCATGCAGGAAAGGTGTGTGGCTGTTCTATATGCAGTGCCCAGGGAAGACCACCTCCTCTAAGAGGGCATCTGAGCAGAGAGCTGAGGGAAATGGGGGAACGCCATCTGGGAGAGGAGCACATGGCGGAGGAGTGACAAGAGCAAAAGGCCCTGGGGTGGGAACGAGCTCAGCCTATGACCGGGACCGCCAGCGCCTGTGTGACTCGAGCAGAGGGGCTTGGGGGTACTAGAAACAAGGTCACAAGGAATAAGGGGCCAGGCCACATCACAAAGGGCCTTGCAGGCCACTTCAAAGTCTGTTTGAAACGGACTTTTCAAAGTTTGCTTGAAACGGGAGATATTGGAGGCTTTGAAACAGCGACAGGTGACCTGGGTCCTTTAAAAATCACTCTGCTTTGACTTTGATCTATATTATGTCAAAAAACAAAACAACAACAACAAAAAAATCCAGTAAAAGTCACTGTGCTTCTGAGTTGAGCACAATTGCAGGGAAATAAAGGAGGGCCGGGAGTCTCCAGGAGGCCGGAGCAAACCAGCAGCATGAGAGGGCAGAACATGTCAGAGGGGGCGTCTGACTCTGGAAGTGGGGCTCACAGGATTTGCCAATGGATTTAGGTGTGGGGCATGGGAGAAAGGGAGTGTCAAGGACAACTCCAAGATCTGTGGCCTGTGCAAATGGAACTGTCATTTATTAAGAGGGAAAAGACTACAGGATGAGCAGGCGTGGGTCTTAGTTTTGGACATGCTAAATCTATGATGGCTATGAGACATCCAGACAGAGGTATCAAAGCTGCAGCTGGAGAGACAGATGTGGAAGAGGGCAGGCCGTGGAGGAGTGCCAGCCACACCCCAGAAGGTCTCTCAAGAAGCCCAGGGCTCCCAAGTCTGAGCCTTGGGGTACACCCAACAGTCTGCAACCAGAGAAAGGTCCCACAGAAGCGACTGAGGAGTGGCCAGCGACAGAAGAAGAGCTCCAAGATCCAGGCCAGGCGCGGCGGCTCACGCCTGTAATCCCAGCACTTTGAGAGGCCAAAGTGGGCGGATCACCTGAGGTCAGGAGTTCGAGACCAGCCTGGCCAACACGGTGAAACCCTGTCTCTACTAAAGATACAAAAATTGGACCGGGAACTGTGGCTCATACCTATAATCCCAGCACGTTGGGTGGCCGAGGCGGGCGGATCACCTGAGGTCGGGGGTTCGAGACCAGCCTGACCAACATGGAGAAACCCCATCCCTACTAAAAATACAAAATTAGCCAGGCATGGTGGCACATGTCTGTAATCCCAGCTACTCGGGAAGCTGAGGCAGGAGAATCGCTTGAACCTGGGAGGCGGAGGTAACAGTGAGCCAAGATCATGCCATTGCACTCCAGCCTGGGCAACAAGAACGAAACTCTATCTCAAAAAAAGAAAAAAAAAAAACAAAAACAAAATCAGCCAAGCGTGGTGGCACGTATCTGTGGTCCCAGCTACTCAGGGGGCTGAGGCAGAAGAATCCTTGAACCTGGGTGCCAGAAGGTTGCGGTGAGCCAAGATCGCGCCACTGCACTCCAGCCCAGTGAAAGAGCAAGACTCCATCTCCAAAAAAAAAAAAAAAAAAAAGAGCTCTAAGATCCAGTAATAACAACAGCAGCAGTGACAGCCACCACCCGCACTGCTGCTGCCACTGCTAACCAGACCCAGGCACTATGCTGATTGCTGGGTTGTTTTGCTTTCTCATAGCAGAACAAACGGTGGCACAGCAGTCACAGAGCTGTGTCATTGTGTGCAAATGAACAAGTGGGAAGTTACACCCAAGTCATCCTCGATCCAAAATCCATATCATTGCACCCCATAATGCAACAGGGAGTCATCAAACATACATAAAACGTGGAGAAAGTTTCTTTACAAAAACAGTGGCATCACTCCAAAGCATTGGTTAGAAAGGAAATAATTTTAGGCAGGAACCAATTAGGAAGCTCTGCAAGAAGGTCAGGAACAAGGGAAGGACGGCAGAGAAGATGCGAAGAAAGGGATGACTCCATACCCGGTCGCCAGCTACCCATGCCCGAATCCTGCCAGCTGCCTGGACTATTACAGCCCAAGAGCTAACAATGGGGTCTACCCTCGTAAACAGTTGCATTTCAATCGGTAATATGAGTACCTGCAGAATAGCCTCAATTTTGCCGTGGCCGTCGCATCAAATGGAAGGGAAAAGAGTCGGTGCAGGCTGCCGAAAATTCCAGACCGGGCAAACACCCTCCAGGTCCCCTCGCGCTCCTCCTCTGCCCTTGGGCCCACACCTGCATGATGGCTTCTGTAAACTGCTCCTCTGCCCCTCCTCCTCAGCCTCCTCTCGGCTGCCCTAGCTTCCTGACACCGCCTAACACAGGCTCATGCGAGGGGTGCTTTCCCGGCCTCTGGGTGACACTTTGGCCACCCTGTGTTTCCATTAACCCCGCTAAATCGGCTGTTAGGCTGCTGAGGAAGGGTTTAAGTCCAATCACGCTTCCCTCACTGCTGCTTCCCATTATGTAGCCTAGAGTTATTGTTTCTAAGGTCTGTACAGAGCACACAGACCACCTACATCCTGAAATCAACCACGAACAACAGCTGTCAATATGTGGTCGCCCCTCCCACACACACCGTTCAAGGAGCCCCCGTGAAAGCACAGGCCAAGCACCTGGGCACAGACTCTCCTCCGCAGGTCATGAGGGAGGAGGAAGCTCATCCCCTCCCCTGGAAGTACCCTCAGATTTGACACACCCGGGTCTGCAGCTCTCCCACTGCCTCGAGTTCTGGTAGAGTAAATAACCTCAAAGACAGACCAACCCAAAAAAGGATGACTGGATTAAGCACCCAAAGCAATACTTCAACTTCTGGCGAGAATTCAATCGGGAGCTGCAAGACATTTATCACTGTATCTGCAAATACCAATCATGACTTGATTATCTTCGTGAAACCTCATTTCTTCGTGTCCTGGGGGACATTTTTCTCCAGAAAAGTGCAGTATAAACAAACAACATGCTGATTCTTCAGGACACTGCTGACAGCTCTGAGCAACCCAACAGCCAGCACTCCCAAACCCATTTACCGCCACATCTGTCCTTTTTTTTGAGACGGAGTCTCGCTCTTGTCGCCCAGGCTGGAGTGCAATGGCGCGATCTCGGCTCACTGCAACCTCTGCCTCCCAGGTTCAAGCGATTCTCCTGCCTCAGCTTCCCAAGTAGCTGGGACTACAGGCGCCCACCACCATGCCTGGCTAATTTTTGTACTTTAGTAGAGATGGGGTTTCACCGCGTTGGCCAGGCTGGTCTCGAACTCCTGACCTTAGGTGATCCACCTGCCTCAGCCTCCCAAAGTGCTGGAATTACAGGCGTGAGCCACCACACCTGGCCCCCCCGTTTTTTGTTTTTTGGTTTTTTTTTTTGAGATGGAGTCCTGCTCTGTCACCCAGGCTAGAGCACAGTGGTGTGATCTCGGCTCACTGCAATCTCTGCCTCCCGGGTTCAAGTGATTATCCTGCCTCAGCCTCCTCCTGAGTAGCTGGGATTAGAGGCGTCCGTAACCATACCCAGTTAATTTTTTGTATTTTTAGTACAGACAAGGTTTCACCATGTTGGCCAGGCTGGTCTTGAACTCCTGACCTCAGGTGATCCACCCGCCTTGGCCTCCCAGAGTGCTGGGATTACAGGCATGAGCCACTGTACACAGCCCGATTACCAATCTTCTGAAATAGTTTAGGAATAGGCCAGGCAGAATGCAGAATGCTCTGACACTGCTGTGGCACTGGCTCCTCAGCAAACTCTTTTCTGCATCCACTTCAATTCCCCTCACTCCAGCTGCCTACTTTTGAAAATGACCTCATATTTGCAGCACGCTGGGGTCAACGGAGGAGGCTGCTCAGGGGCAGAGACTGGCAGAGACAGGCAGAGACCTGTGCAGCTACCACAGGTCCCAACAGACCCCCAGACTGTTTCCCCCAAGGGAAGTGAACCCTCAGACACACAGATGGAGAGATGTCTGATCTAATTTCCTTCACTGCACTGTCGGGGCATTTTGCCAAAGAGAGCTACTTCACCTGGCATCTCTTCACTCAGAAAAAAACTGATCAAAACTGCTATTTTTTGCAAAAGTTATTATGTACAGATCAGACAGACTTAATGAATTGGGGAAAGACCTTTTAAAGTTAAAGAAAGTCTATTTGGTTTCCATGGGAAATTTCTTTCTTTTTTTTTGAAACAGAGTCTCACTCTGTTACCCAGGCTGGAGTGCAATGGCATGACCTCACTCACTGCAACCTCCGCCTCCCGGGTTCAAGCAATTCTCCCTGCCTCAGCCTCCCAAGTAGCTGGGATTACAGGCATGCACCACCATGCCTGGCTAATTTTTGTATTTTTAGTAGAGATGGAGTTTCACCAGGTTGGCCAGGTTGGTCTCAAACTCCTGACCTCAGATGATCCGCCCACCTCGGCCTCCCAAAGTACTGGGATTACAGGCATGAGCCACTGCGCCCAGCCTCCATGGGAAATTTCTTAATAGAAACGGGGTCTCCCAGGCTGAAGTACAGTGGCATGATCATGGCTCATCACAGCCTCAAACTCCTGGGCTCAAGCAGTCCTCCCACCTCAGCCTCCCGAGTAGCTGAGATGACAGGCACATGCCACCACACCCAGTTTTGTTTTGCTTTGTTTAATTTTTTATAGAGACAAGGTCTGGCAATGTTGCCAAGGCTGGTCTCAAACAGTCCTCCAGTCTCAGCCTCCCAATGCTGAGATTACCATGCTGAGATTACCAGCATGAGCCACCATGCCCATCCTTAAAATTTTCTTTTAACCTACCTCCAACATTTTTGCTTACAGGCAAAAAAGAAATATATGACAAAAATAACACTAATAAGAGCAGGTAGAGAAAAGAGATTCCAAACTTCATAAAGAGCCTCTGTTGGGGTATTATAACAAACTGCATTCAGCTGCATGAAACAGAACCAGAGTCTTTCCCACTAAAAAATAACTGCATGAGGCCAGGTATGTGGCTCACACCTATAATCTCAGCACTTTGGGAGGCCGAGGCAGGGGAATCACCTGAGGTCAGGAGTTCGTGACCAGCCTCGCCAATGTGGCGAAACCCCATCTCTACTAAAAATACAAAAATTAGCCAGACGAGGCCAGGCGTGGTGGCTCACGCCTGTAATTCCAGCACTCTGGGAGGCCAAGGTGGGCGGATGACCAGGTCAAGAGATCAAGACCATCCTGGCCAACATGGTGAAACCCCGTCTCTACCAAAAATACAAAAATTAGCTGGGCGTGGTGGCGGGCGCCTGTAGCCCCAGCTACTTGGGAGGCTGAGGCAGGAGAATTGCTTGAACCCGGGAGGCGGAGGTTGCAGTGAGCTGAGATCACGCCACTGCACTGCAGCCTGGCAACAGAGCGAGACTCCGTCTCAAAAAAAAAAAAAAAAAAAATTAGCCAGACATGGTGGCGGGCACCTGTAATCCCAGCTACTTGGGAGGCTAGGGCAGAAGAATCACTTGAACCTGGGAGGCGGAAGTTACAGTGAGCTGAGATCACGCCACAGCACTCCAGCCTAGGCAACAGAGCAAGACTCCATCTCAAAAAAAAAAAAAAGAACTGCATGAGAAAACAGACCAGGGCTGAAGCAGATTCATCTTAGGTTCCCAGTACACAGTCAGCAGCCCAGGTTCCCTCTCCTCTGCTCTCCCAATCTGTACTGGATGGCTTTCTTCACACTTGTAAGACAGCTGCCAAAGCCCTGGGCTTTCCATCCGCTCAAGGCAGGGGAAGGGTAAAAGCAACAGGCAAAAGGCAGAGGCCAAACAAGTGTGCCCCCTTTCTTTTTTTTTGAGATGAAGTCTTGTTCTGTCTCCAGGCTGAGTGCACTGGCGCGATCTCAGCTCACTGCAACCTCCGCCTAGCGGGTTCAAGCAATTCTCCTGCCTCAGCCTCCTGAGTGGCTGGGACTACAGGCACACGCCACCACACCCGGCTAATTTTTGTATTTTTAGTAGAGACAGGTTTCACCATGTTGGCCAGGATGTTCTCGATCTCCTAACCTCGTGATCCACCTGCCTCAGCCTCCCAAAATGCTAGGATTACAGGCGTGAGCCACTGCGCCTGGCCAAGTGTGCCCCCTTTCAAGGAGCCCGGTGTAGAAACTTCCACCTGAACATGCTGGCAAACTTGCAAGCAAAGGGGTCTGGGAAGGTAAATAATTTATCTGGGCCCCAACTACACCAAGCAAAACTGAACTGCATTAGGAAGGAAGTTGTCAAGACTGGACAATGGGTAGGCAATTAGCAGTCTCTGGCACAGGTATAAAATCCATAGTCAGATTCCAATAACAAGCTCTCGGTGAAAAGGATACTAGGACATGCTTCAGCAACTCCTCCTTTTTCACCAGCACAACTTACTGCACAGTTCCTCAGAGAAACTTCTTGCAACTTGCTCAGCTGACTGCATGAAAAACAGAGTTCACATGGATACATAAGCACGTATGCTATCCACTGGCCCTTTAAAAAATTAAACACATTTCAGACATATAAAAGGGTACCAAAAATAATATACAAATACCAGTAACCACCACCCAAATTAAGAAATAAAGCATTACAAAAAAGAAAAAGAGCACTACAAATATTACAAATGCAACTGAAGTCCTCTGGGGCCCTCTCCAAACACAATTCTCCCTCTACTCCCAGAGGTAAACTTTTCTTTTTGCTTTTTAGCCAGAGTCTCGTTGTGTTGCCCAGGCTGGAGTGCAGTGGCACAATCTAGACTCACTGCAACCTCTCCCTCCCAGGTTCAGGTGATTCTCCTGCCTCAGCCTCCCCAGTAGCTGGGATTACAGGCGCTTGCTACCACACCTGGCTAATTTTTGTGTTTTTAGTAGAGACGGGGTTTCACCATGTTGGCCAGACTGGTCTCGAACTCCTGACCTCAAGTGATCCACCCACCTCCGCCTCCCAAAGTGCTGGGATTACAGGCGTGAGCCACCACGCCCGGCCCTCCCCAGGGCCTTATACTACATTTGGTGTTTATTTAATCTTAAGCATTTCTTAATATTTTTACCATATATTTCCATATCCCTAAACAATTACAGCATTTTTTAATATTCTGAAACTTGATATAAATGGTATTCTACTCCGCAGAGCCTTCTGCACCTGACTTTTTCCTCAACAGTCTATTGTTCAGTGGTGAGATTTCACTACGGTGACACATGGAGCTCCAGGACATTCATCTTCACACCTTACAGCGTTTGTTATATGAACAGACCACAAGGAATGTACATACTCTTCTGCTGACATTTAGATTGTTCCCAACCACGCAGAAGTACATGCTATGGAGTGCTTCTCGCACTCACATGTAAAAGCCTCCCTAAGGTACTTCCTAGAGAGCGCACCCAGCTTCAGCATGACCAGATACTTCCGGCAGCCATTTGTTAAGTGTAGAGAATCTTGTGCTTTCTATTCATGAAAAGAATCCGCATACATAATGTCTAAGAACACAGAATCTGGAACCAGACCACCTGGGTTCAAATCCCAATTCCACCATCTCCTTTGGCTTTGGAGAAGTGAATTAGCACCTCTGTGCCTCAGACTTCACATCTCTAAAAGGCCACGGTATATGCACAAGTTCACAGCAGCATTATTCCTGGTAGTCAAGAGGTGGAAGCAACCCAAGTGTCCATCAACAAATGAAAGGATAAACAAAACGTGGCACACATATACAATGCAATATTGTGCGAACTTAAAAAAAAGGAAGGAAATTCTGACATATGCCGCAATGTGGATGAACCTTGAGTGTATTATGCTAGGTGAAATAAGCCAGTCACAGAAGAACAAATACATGGCCGGGGGCAGTGGCTTATGCCTGTAATCCCAGCACTTTGGGAGGCCAAGGTGGGCGGATCACCTGGGGTCAGGAGTTCGAGACCAGCCTGGCCAACATGGTGAAACCCTGTCTCTACTAAAAAAAATAACAAAAATTAGCCTGGCATAGTGGGGGGCACCTGTAATCCCGACTACTCAGGAGGCTGAGACAGGGGAATCGCTTGAACCCGGGAGGGTGGAGGTTGCAGTGAGCCGAGATCACACCATTGCGCTCCAGCCTGGGTAACAAGAGTGAAACTCTGTCTCAAAACAAAAAACAAGAAACAACAACAAAAAAAAGAAAGAAAAACCAGGGTACAAAAGGCAGCAGCAGAATTCAAGGTTAGAGGGTCCCAAACTTTCTCAGGCCACACGGTCCTTAGGGTTTCAGTAATTTTTTTCATGGTACTTAGGCCAAAATAAATACCTCACAGTTCCAATTAAGTACGTAGTTAGGGCCAAACAACTTAATCATTACTTATGTCCTGTCAACTCAGTGTCTGCTGGGCACTGCCCAACTTCCCAAACCCTGGAATCAGACTGGACGCCACCAATTCCATTTCCAGTTCCACACTGATTTAAGAGATACTTGCTTTTTTATAAAACAAATATTTCTATTGATGCATGATAGATGTACATAAATACTTGTGTTTTATCGCGGCAATTGCCCAAAAGCCAGCTTTGTAGGCTTATGACATCATTGAAAAGAACTACAGGAATCTCATGAAACAGGCAACTACTTCAAACTGTAGTTTGCACTGTGTCCGACAGATGTCGCTCCTTCCCCCTAAAATTTAAAATAGCCTTCTTTGCCAGGTCAACTTGGCACTAAGCATGAGGACTCAGATCTCAGTCCAAGCATCACTCCAGAGCCAAAGCCATCTCCAAGAGAAACCATACATAATGGATTTTTTAATTTGTTTTTGATTCCTTTATTGAGTAAGTCTCTTCTTAGTGGTACGATCTCAAAGCTGGTCAGCTGGATTTTATTGATGAGATAAGACAATGGCTTAAAGTAGAGGTTTCAACTCCTAACTGACAGCTATCATTAATTGTAGGATCTCATTTGTTATTCACAACAGCACTTATATCTTAGGTTTTATGTTGTAACTGAGGAAACTGAGGCTTAGAAACAATAAGCAGCTATCTCTAACTTCTGTCAGAGCCAAAAGTGCCTTAGCTGGCGGCTGAACCCAGCCTAACTCCAACACTGGCTGCATTCCACCAAGCTGTCTCATAATTTCTGAATTGACTAATCTCCAGCCAACATATGAGATTACTCCAGAATCTCTAAAATTTTACCTTTTCAATCAAGAAAGACACTAGCTAATGATTAAATGCAATGATACTCAAGTAGTAGGGTCATTTACAGAAAAATTCATGAGTTACATAGCTGTTCATAAACTAGGGGACGAAAATCCATTTGCAATTTGTTAATATTCTCAGAAAGAGATTAACCAATTAAAAAAATGCTTCCTTTGGGTAAGAGATATGTAAATATTTGGGGTTTTTTTTTTTTGGTTTGTGTGTCATTTGAGACAAGGTCTCACTATGTCACCTAGGCTGGAGTGCAGTGGTGCAATCATGTCTCACTGCAGCCTTGACCTTCTGGGTTCAGGTGATCTTCCCACCTCAGCTTCCCAAATAGTTGGGACTATAGGCACGCACCACTACACCCAGCTAATTTTTGCATTTATTTATTTATTTTTTTTGTAGAGACAGGGTTTTGCCATGTTGCCCAGGCTATTTGTATTTTAAATGGGAAAAAATAAAGCAAAGAACTCTAACCCTATGAAGCATGTAGTTCTTTAAATCCAAGTAAATCAGTAGGGTAAACAGTAAAAACTGTTCATGATAGTTACGTCTTTTTTTTCTTTTTTTTTTTTTTTTTTGAGACAGAGTCTCATTCTGTCACCCAGGCTGGAGTGCAGCGGCATGATCTCGGCTCACTGCAACGTCCACCTCCCAGGTTCAAGCGATTCTCTTGCCTCAGCCTCCCAAGCAGCTGGGACTACAGGTGCGTACCACCACACCCAGCTAATTGTTTGTATTTTTAGTAGAGACAGGGTTTCACCATGTTGGCCAGGCTAGTCTCAAATTCCTGGCCTTAAGTGATCCAACTGCCTCGGCCTCCAAAAGTGCTAAGATGACAAGCATAAGCCACCGCACCCAGCCCGTTTACGATACTTATATCTAAGTGGTGGCATTAATCATGATACTTTTTTGTTCAATCTGTAATTTCTAAATTCTCAACAATAAAGGTATCTTGTTTTATAAAGAACAGTCCATTTGTTCCTTTTTCTAAAACTCTTGATTTATTCTGAGTTTTTTTTAATGGGGGCCATGTATGCTAAAGAGTAGATGTACCAAGAAATGTATTTATTTTCCACATTGTCCCCATGTGCACTTTTATTAATAACAACAATAACAAAAGATAGTAAAGAAATTTACTTTGGACAGAACTATAGCTTAATTCTTTTAGAGACTGAAAGAAAATATATTGCAGGCCTCCAAGTGGCCACAAATTTATCCTCACAGTGGCCACCAGGGGTCCTTACCCAGATGCCTCGTCCAAGTCACTCACCACAGTAGGAAGCTGCAAGGCCTGGCCAGTTCTTGTGCAGCCATGACTGGTTTTGTGTAAATACTATCTTTCTCTCTCTTTGATTCAAGCAGTTCACTGGAATGACTAGAAAGCCTCCTTGTACAAAGTCACAATATACAGTTTCAGAGAAAAGAGAATGTTCTTGTGCAGCAGTTTTAAAGGGCATTATTTTAAGGCCGGGTGCTTAATCCCTGTAATCCCCAGTGCTTTGGGAAGCCAAGGATCACTTGAGCCCAAGAGTTCAAGACCAGCCTGGGCAACATAGCAAGATCCTGTCTGTATAAAAATAAAAATACAATACAATACAATACAATAAAATGCATTAGAGCCCATATCCCAAAATTGTGATTGAGCAGATCTGGGATGGGACCAAGGATGCCGCATGTTCCACAGCTCCCCAGGTGATGAAGATGTGCAGCCCGAGGTGAGAACTACTCCCTACTATTAACAGACGGCACCAGCACGCTCCACGGCATAGGGAACAATTCAGACTGCTGTTTCCATTCCCAACTTACCATCATCACCATGAAATAGAAAAGAACCCAAACGTCAGCCTTGGTTACTTAGTCAACACGAGATAATATGATGTGAATAGTAATAATGGGCCAATAAATATTTCAATTGCAAACTGGATAAATCTACCAATCCTGTGCTAACATAAGAATTTTAATTTCCCTAAATAATTCTTGGATTCCTCAGATTTTGATTCCGTTTCTGTGGAACCATAAACCAGTTTAGGAGCAAAGTCATGAGCATCCATATACAGTCATGGGTATTTCAATTCTGAACCTTAATAAAACCATAAAAGTCAGCTCTGCCGTTATAAACTCCACTTACCTTTGCTGTTTCATAATAGAGTCAAAACCGATAGTCTCCACAGGTTTATTTCCAATTGTAACAATTTGCTCTTTTCTATCTTCCTCTGGTCCATCTTCTAACACATAGCGGTTCTTAATTGCAGTAAGAAAGTCTGTTCCAAAATTTACCTTGTTCGGACGAATAAAGGATCCTCCTGTCGGGTGCCTGGTAAAGAAGAGCAAATGAAACACAGAAAATATTACCCACCAAGAAAGGCCATAAATACAATTTTCTGAAGGTCTTCAAAAATTTCTACATGCTAAAAAATCAAAATTAGCATAAAAGAGAATATCACATACTAAAATAATATATAATCAGTATGATTGACCATAAAGGGTTATGATCTTATGCAAGCATGTTAAATCCCTTTAAATAAACTAACAAGTAATATGAAACTGACAATTCACATTAGAAAAAACAGAAGTATTAAATCCATGGGGGTGGCCAGGCACGGTGGCTCATGACTGTAATCCCAGCACTTTGGGAGGCCAAGGCAGGAGGACCACCTGAGGTCAGGAGTTCAAGACCAGCCTGGCCAACATGGCGAAACCCCCATCTCTACTAAAAATACAAAAATTAGTCCAGCGTGGTGGTGCACACCTGTAGTCCCAGCTACTAGGGAGGCTAAGGCGGGAGAATTGTTTGAACTCGGGAAGTGGAGGTTGCAGTGAGCCAAGATCATGCCACTGCACTCCAGCCTGGGTGACAGAGCAAGACTCCATCTAAAAAAAAAAAAAAAAAAAAAAAAATCGTAGGTGGATTATATACAAAATCATTTATTTATTTATTTACTTATTTATTTTTTATTTTGGTAACAGAGAGAGACCTTGTCACTTAAAAAAAAAGAAGAAACAGTGAACTCTATAAATTGATCAAAATTGTATTATAAACACTATTTCAGCTTACGATCATTACTTTTTTTCTTTTTTTTTTTTGAGACAGAATCTCACTCTATTGCCCAGACTGGAGTGCAGTGGCGCAATCTTGACTCACTGCAACCTCCACCTCCTGGGTTCAAGCAGTTCTCCTGCCTCAGCCTCCCAATTAGCTGGGACTACAGGCATGTGCCACTACACCCAGGCTAATTTTTCTATTTTTAGGAGAGACAGGGTTTCACCATGTTGGCCAGGCTGGTCTTGAACTTCTGACCTTAAGTGATCCTCCCGCCTTGACCTCCCAAAGTGCTGGGATTACAGGCGTGAGCCACCACGCCTAATTTTTTTTTTTTTTTTTTAAAGAAAGGGGGTCTCACTCTGTCACCTCGGTGAGAGTGCAGTGACACAACCATAACTAACTGCAGCCTCCAA
The DNA here is from genome assembly GCF_000001405.40 of Homo sapiens. Lineage (NCBI taxonomy): Eukaryota > Metazoa > Chordata > Mammalia > Primates > Hominidae > Homo > Homo sapiens. The sequence goes on along the minus strand of NC_000001.11, from coordinate 235,413,290 downwards.
TTCCCAGGGCTCAGGCAATGCTCCCTCTTCAGCCTCCCACGTAGCTAGGACTACAGGTACAAGCAACCATGTCCAGCTAACACTTTTCGTACTTTTTTTAAGAGACAACATCTCACTACGTTGCCCAGGCAACAACCATTAACTCTTAAAGAAAGAAATCAGACCTTTTTAGAAGTCACCATAATTCTGGCCAGGCACAGTAGCTCATGCCTATAATCCCAGCACTTTGGGAGGCTGAAAAGGGCGGATCACCTAAGGTCAGGAGTTCGAGATCAGCCTGACCAACATGAAGAAACCCCATCTCTACTAAAAATACAAAATTAGCCAGGTGTGGTGGCACATGCCTATAATCCCAGCTACTGGGGAGGCTGAGGCAGGAGAATCACTTGAACCCGGGAGGCAGAGGTTGCGGTGAGCCAAGATCATGCCATTGCACTCCAGCCTGGGCAACAAGAGCAAAACTCCATCTCAAAAAAATAATAATAATAATAATTGAAAAGGATGAAAACTAATATTTGTGATAAATTTTGTTAACATAAACATACGTACAGTTTTCTCTAAGATGTGGGTTCACAGTGATGATCAGACTCTAAAAGGAACTTGTGATCCCAAAAAGTTAAAACCAATCCCCAACCTGGGAAGAAGTGGCCAGGAGGGAGTTAGAAACTTAGAGAGTGTGGGCTGGGTGCGGTAGCTCACCCCTATAATCCTAGCATTTTGGGAGGCTGAGGCGGGCAGATCACCTAAAGTCAGGAGTTTGAGATCAGGTGCGGTAGCTCACCCCTATGATCCTAGCATTTTGGGAGGCTGAGGTGGGCAGATCACCTAAAGTCAGGAGTTTGAGACCAGCCTGGTCAACATGGTGAAACCCTGCCTCTATTAAAAATACAAAAATTAGCCAGGCATGGTTGCTGGTACCTGGAGTTTCGCTACTTGGAAGTATGAGGCAAGAGAATTGCTTGAGCCCAGGAGGTGAAGCTTGCAATGAGCTGAGATCACATCATTGCACTCTAGCCTGGGCGACAGATGGAAACGAGGGGAGGGGAAAGGAGGGAAGGGGAGGGGGAGGGGAGGGGAGGGGGAGGGGAGGGGAGGGGGAGGGGAGGGGGAGGGGAGGGGAGGGGGGAAGGGGAGGGGAGGGGAGGGGAAGGGGAGGAGAAGGGAAAGGGATGGGAAGGGAAAGGGATGGGAAGGGAAACTTGGAGAGTGTGGTGTCCTGGAAGCCAATGAAGAAAGTCAACAACCATGTCCAATGCTAAAACCAGGTCAGGTAAGGTAACAGCTGAGGCCTTGCCACTGAATCCAGCAACATGAACATAACCTTTCCTACGAGCAGTCTGGGTGGGGCAATAGGGCAAAGCCCAGCGAGGGTGAGTTCCAAAGACTGGGAGGCAAGTGAGCACAGCCTACCCTTGTCCTGAAGGGGCACAGGGGTCAAAGGAGGGAGATTGCTTAAGACAGGAGAAAATATCCACCTTGTATGTTGATGAAATTAATTCAGTGGAATAGGGGGAAGCTGATTATGCAGGAAATTAAATCCTCTTTTGTAGCAAAATTAAGTCCCATATCTCTCTCATGGCTTATACACACACATCAGTGATTTGTTTCTGTAAGTTAAACATGTCTCTTAAGTTACAAGCCTAGTTTACTGGCTGCTCTGCCTATGGAGTAGCCATTCTTTATTATTCCTTTACTTTCTTAATAAACTTGCTTTCACTTTACTCTATGGATTCCCCTCAAATTCTTTCCTTTGCAAGATCCTAGAACCCTCTCTTGGGGCCTGGATCAGGACCCCTTTCTGGTAACATCTTTCTGGCGAACCACAGAAAGGAGGACACTGAGGGGACCCGCCCCCCAACCCAAAGGAAATAGTCTGCAGCACTGACTGGGTGACCTTGGGACACAAGTGGAGAAACTGCTTATTTTACCAAGGCTTCAACTGGAATGGTGTGTGTTCCTTTATGGAATCAAACTTGACTTATAGAGCCAATAAAAGCCGCTTGGGAAAACTGGCCTCACTCCTTGTCTACACAGTTCCTGACCTGTGTCCCACAGACCTATGGAAGACAAGAGAATGATCCCACTTATTCCTGTGAACCAACCAGTGATCTCTGGCTGCTGCTCAGAAGAAACAAGAGTGATGGGTAATGTTATTCTAATTCTGGGCACATATTGGAATTGGCTAGTGACTCCTTATTAGCTTGATTTAAACAATTGCCCAGTTCATGGAAAACTTTCTAATTCAGTTTACTTGGGATAATTTTATTTTTTTTATTTTACTGTTGTGGAATATATTGCTGTGATTATACTCTTTGTGTAGGAATGCAGGATAAGCTTACTAAATGTTTTCTTAAACTGAACACTTATTAATCTTCCAGATATACCTTTTGTCGGAACTCAAGAGTTATGAATGGCCTTCGCCATACCAACGCTTTCGAACTGAGCTCCTCTACCCTGAATGCAAGAGACCCAACAGTTAGGCAGGAATATCATCACCCCTGTTCAGCATAAAGAAGTTACAGAAAGTGGATCTTCATCCCTCTGCAGCCCTTAGGATTAAGGGTTCTCTCGTAAAAGGGAGGGGGGAAATATGTCAGAGACGTTTGAACCAGAGCAACTCCATCTTGAATAGGAGCTGGGTAAAATAAGGCTGAGACCTACCAGGCTGCATTCCAGACTGTTAGGCATTCTAAGTCTCAGGATGAACTAGGAGGTCGGTACAAGATACAGGTCATTAAAGACCTTGCTGATGAAACAGCATGCAGTAAAGAAGCTGGCTAAAACCCACCAAAACCAAGATGGAGATGAGAGTGACCTCTGGTCATCCTCACTGCTACACTCCCACCAGCACCATGACAGTTTACAAATGCCATGGCAACGTCAGGAAATTACCCTACATGGTCTTAAAAGGGGAGGCATGAATAATCCACCCCTTGTTTAGCATATACTCAAGAAATAACCATAAAAATGGGCACCCAGCAGTCCTCGGGACTGTTCTGCCTATGGAGTAGCCATTCGTTATTCCTTTATTATAATTTTTTTTGGAGATAGAGTCTCCCTCTGTTGCCCAGGCTGGAGTGCAGTGGGGTGATCTTGGCTCACTGCAACCTCAGCCTCCCTGGTTGAAGCAATTCTCCTGCCTCAGCCTCCCGGGTTGAAGCAATTCTCCTGCCTCAGCCTCCTGAGTAGCTGGGATTACAGGCGTGCAACACCACGCCCGGCTAATTTTTGTTTCTGTTTTTTTTGTTTTTGTTTTTGTTTGAGACAGAGTCTCACTCTGTCACGCAGGCTGGAGTGCAGTGGCACGATCTCGGTTCACTGCAATCTCCAACTCCCGGGTTCACGCCATTCTCCTGCCTCAGCCTCCCAAGTAGCTGGAACTACAAGCACCCGCCACCACGCCTGGCTAATTTTTTGTATTTTTAGTAGAGACGGGGTTTCACTGTGTTAGATAGGATGGTCTCGAACTCCTGACCTCAAGTGATCCGCCCACCTCGGCTTCCCAAAGTGCTGGGATTACAGGCATGAGCCACGGCGCCAGGCCCTAAATCTACACTTTTTAAAACAGTGGTAATAAACAAGTTTTAAAACCATGGTAAAAAAACAAGAAGTCATGAACAGATCTTTATTACTGTTGAGTTTAGTTGCAGGCAGATGAAAGGAGAGTTAGGAATGTTGTTAGGTAGTTGCAAAACGGATGCTATGCCCTTTACAGATCAAAGACTAACACTAAAGATCAATATTTTCTGGAACATTTCCAGCAGGTTTCTCAGAAAACAAAACAGCCTCAACAAATAGTGAAAAACCCTAGCTGAATGGGTGCCCATCAATAACAACAAATCTCCAAGAGGTAAACTGTAATAATTTACATAGACTCCACTGAGATTCTACATTAATATATTAAGAAACTGTATCCAAACACTGAAATTCCAAACCATGTCTAAAGAGAAAAATGTTGGTGAGGAGGAGAATACAGGGAGGGGTGTCCAAAAACGTTTCTCTTGGAAGCATTTGGCCTGTTCAGGTTCCTTCCTCCTTCTGCCTACCAATTACACATGCTGCTGGTAAAATCATCATCCTGACCCATGGCCCTTGTGGAAACAGCATGTGCTCATAAAACCCAGTTATCAAGATTCATTCTGTCCTATGTCCCCATCAGGACTGCCACATAGAATCGAAGATGCTCAGTTAAGCTTGTATTTCAGATAAACAGCAAATCATTTTTAAGTAAGTATGCCCCCATGCATGTCTCATACTTATACTAAAAAAAAAAAAAAAAAAGATTGGCTGTTTATCTGAAATCCAAAGTTCACTATGCATTTGGTATTTTTGTTTGCTGAATCTGGCAACACTACACAAAGGTAAAGGGTCCCCAACAGACTCCCAGACTTCCACAGTAAGCTTCTTTCTTGTTGGAGCTTTGGATACAAGCTACTGGAAAAGGCCAGGTCTCTGGGGAGTTTCTAATAAATACTGTTGATCTTGATACCCTGTTTGTTTCAGGAATGTTTAGTGTTCAGCAAGGTTGCATAACTAGCTGTTCATCAGGAGAGGAGAACTCAGCTTTCGTGCAGTGTTCAGCGCTGTAACATCTAAAGAGCTGACCCAGAGAGGTTGTTTTCCTGTGAGTAAAGCAGTACAGTAGATAAGCACCTTGCTGTAGACTGCTCTTTTTGTTTGCTTCTCTAATCAGCTGAATTTAATATTCATCTCAACTGCTTTTGCGTTGACACAATTATGATTTTGCTCTGATTCAAGAAAACCTTCCAAAAATGAAGCAGAGCTACCACCTTTTTGAACAGAGATGCGCCTTGCCCACATACTATCATTACATTTCCTGATTAAAAAAAAAAAAAAATCTTCCAACACTTTACACCACACCAAGAGAATATTTTATACCAATCCATTAATGCTCAGCCAAGATCCTCAAAACACTTTACAACTGGCTTATGACACACAAAAGATGAATAAATCAAGGGCTTTCTTTTTTTAGTTTAATTTTTAATTTTTGTGGGTACATACAATATTTTGATACAGGCACACGTGTAACAATCACATCAGGGTGAATGGGGTATCTATCACTTCAAACATTTATCCTTTCTTTCAAACACTTATCCTTTATTGCTAGGGCTTTGTTTCTTAAATTGTCAACCATCCATTTCCTAAGATGTCCATTACCACAGACACAGGCTGGAACAGCACGACCTCTCTGATGCTAAGTATTAAAGTTAGATTCTGCTCCCTAGTGTTGAAGAAAAGTCAGATTTTAAGATTTATTTCTCACCAGAAAAGAGAACTTCTACCATTGCTTGGAAACAGAAGCACTGAAATAAAAGGTGAGTGGGCAGAATACTGACACACACAGCTCTGTTCAGAGCATACTCTGGGGTTTAGGTTGAAAGAAAAAAAAAACTGAAAACCACTCTGCTGTCTACGGACAAGGTAAAGAGGACTTCAAGGTTACTTACCATATTTGAACCCCTCAACTACCCCTTCAACAAGAAGTAGAGAGCAGGAGTACCTAGGAAGGACACGGGTGACTGGCGCACGGCCATAAATCTTGGATAAATCTTGGGAAAGTTGATTACAGAAACTGGGTCATTCTTGTCATACCCAACTAAATCAGAGTCAAGGGACCAAGGGGAAAAAGTGCTCGGGGCACACAACACCTGCTCCAAGAATTCAGTTTATTACAAGCCCAGCTGCTGAGACTGCCTGTTGTAACCTGAAGCCAGTTTTATTTAATAGCTACTAAAACAATCTGCCGTGACTCTAAGACTAATCTTACCCACCACTGTCACTCACCAATCAGAGCTTGCTAGCCAGCTCTCCAAAACTTGACTAGTGCCAATGAACTTTCTTTCAGAACAATATGTAACATTTCTCCTTTTTATAAAATGTACTAGACAGGACACGGCGGGTAACACCTGTAATCCCAGCACTTTGGGAGGCCGAGGTAAGAGGATCACTCAAGCCCAGGAGTTTGAGACCAGCCAGGGCAAAATAGGGAGTCTCCATCTCTACAAAAAAATCAAAAAATGAGGTGGGAGAACTGCTTGAGCATAGGAGGTTGAGGCTGCAACGAGCCATGATTGTGCCACTGTACTACTACCTGGGTGACAGAGCAAGACCCTGCGTCCAAAAAAAAAAAAAAAAGGCGGGGGCCAGGTGCAGTGGTTCACGCCTATAATCCCAGCACTTTGGGAGGCCAAGGCAGGCAGAACACCTGAGGTCGGGAGTTCGAGACCAGCCTGACCAACATGGAGAAATCCTGTCTAAAAATACAAAATTAGCCAGGCGTGGTGGCACTTTCCTATAATACCAGCTACTCAAAAGGCTGAGACAGGAGAATCCCTTGAACCTGGGAGAAGGAGGGTGCAGTGAGGCGAGATCACGCCATTGCACTCCAGCCTGGGCAACAAGAGCGAAACTCCGTCTCAAAAAAAAAAAAAAAAAAAAAAGCCCAGGAGCAGTGGCTTATGCCTGTAATCCCAGCACTTTGGGAGGCCGAGGTGGGCAGATCAAAAGTTCAGGAGTTCGAGACCAGTCTGGCCAATATGGTGAAACCCCATCTCTACTAAAAATACAAAAATTAGCCAGGTGTAGTGGCAGGCGCCTGTAGTCCCAGCTACTCAGGAGGCTGAGGCAGGAGAATCGCTTGGACCCGGGAGGCGGAGGTTGCAGTGAGCCGAGATGGTGCAACTGCACTCCAGCCTGGGCGACTGAGTGAGACTCCGTCTCAAAAACTAAAAGAAAAAATCCACGTTTCTCTTTGTTCTTTGTTCTTTGGATATACCAAAGACGATCTAGTCTGTGCGGATGCCCTGAACTGCAATTCTTGCTTCCCAAATAAAATGTTACACTTAGACATTCATCTGCACATTTTATTTTTATTTTGACACTGTAAACCACTATTAATTGCTAATGTTACAAATATTAATTATGGGTAATAATAGCTCAGGAGATTACTATATTTACCTTAGGTTACAAAAGAGATCAGAGAAACTAAAACATGACATGAAATCATCAAACTCTAAAGGACCAGTTAAATTCCTGTAGTCCAGACCAGTGGTTCTCCACCACTTCAGACCCAATGATCTCTTTTGTATTGCCCCATAAATATCCTGAAATGGAATTCACAGATAACATTACCTACTCATATAATTTTTTAATGTCAACAAAGTGCCTATTTAAATTTTAAAAAGTTATTTATAATAAGATAATATGTACTTCAATTATGTAAATGTTTAGGCATGACAACACAACACTAGACGATATAATGAAGTAAGCAGTTATTCCAAGGCTAAGAATCCAAATACAGTCATGCACCACATAATGACGTGTAGATCAACAATGGACCGCATATGCTACAGTGGTCCCATAATCACACTGGAGCTGAAAAAATCCTATCTCCTAGTGAAGCTGTAGCTGTCTTAATGCTGTAGTACAACATAATACTCGTGTTTGTGGTGATGCTGGTGTAAACAAGCCTACTACACTGCCAGTCACATAAAAGTATAGCACATACAATTATGTATAGTACATAATATTTGATAATGATAATAAATGGCTATGTTACTAGTTTAAGTGTTCACTATACTATACTTTTTATCATTATGTTAGAGTGTACTCCTTCTATTTTTTCTTTTTTTTTTGAGACACAGTTTCACTCTGCTGACCAAGCTGGAGTGCAATGGTGTGATCTTGGCTCACTGCAACCTCCACCTCCCAGGTTCAAGTGATTCTCATGCCTCAACCTTCCCAGTAGCTAGGATTACAGGTGCATGCCACCATGCCCAGCTAATTTTTCTGTTTTTAGTAGAGACGGGGTTTAACCATGTTGGCCAGGGTGGTCCCGAACTCTTGACTTCAGGTGATCCTCCTGCCTCAGCCTCCCAAAGTGCTGGGATTACAGGCATGAGCTGCTGTGCCCAGCAAACTCCTACTTATTAAAAAAAAAAAAAAAAAAAGTTAATTGTAAACTACCCTCAGGCAGGTCCTTCAGGAGGTATTCTGGAAGAAGGCTCAGGTCCAGTGCAGTGGCTCATGCCTATAATCTCAGCAATTTGGGAAGCCAAGGCAGGCAGATCACCTGAGATCAGGAGGTCGAGACCAGAATGGCCAACATGGCGAAACCCCGTCTCCACTAAAAATACAAAAATTAGCTGGGCATGGTGACATGCGCCTGTAGTCCCAGCTACTCGGAAGACTGAGGCAGGAGAATCACTTGAACCTGGGAGGCAGAGGTTGCAGTGAGCCGAGGTTGTGCCACTGCACTCCAGCGTGGGTGACGGAGCAAGACTCTGTCTCCAAAAAAAAAAAAAAAAAAAGTACCGGGCATGGTGGCTCACGCCTATAATCCCAGCACTTTGGGAGGCTGAGGAGGGTTGATCACGAGGTCAGGGGTTCGACACCAGCCTGGCCAACATGGTGAAATCCCATCTCTACTAAAAATACAAAAATTACCCAGGTGTGGTGGCGCATGCCTGTAATCTCAGCTACTCAGGAGGCTAAGGCAAGAGAATCGTTGGAACCCAGGCAGTGCAGTGAGCTGAGATCATGCCACTGCACACCAGCCTGGGTGACAGAGCAAGAATCCATCCCAAAAAAAAAAAAAATTTAAAGTTTATAACATAAAAAAGTTACAGGAAGCTAAAGTTAATTTATTATTAAAGAAAGAAAAAACTTCTAAGTTTAGTGTAGCCTAAGGCTACAGTGTTTCCAAAGTCTACAGTAGGGTACAAGAATGTCCCAGCCTTCACATTCACTCACCACTCACTCACTTACCCAGAGCAACTTCCAGTCCTACAAGGTCCATTCACGCTAAGTGCCCTATGCAGGCATACCATTTTCTATCTTTTTTTTTTTTATGATGAGATCTCATTGTGTTGCCTAGGCTGGTCTTGAAACTCCTGGGCTTAAACAATCCTAATGACTCAGCCACCCAAGTAGCTGGTACTAACAGGCACATACCACCCGTACCACCCCACACTGCTTAATTTTTTTTTTTTCTTGAGCCGGAGTCTTGCTCTGTCACGCAGGCTGGAGTGCAGTGGCACGACCTCAGCTCACTGCAACCTCCACCTCCCAGGTTCAAGCAATTCTCCTGCCTCAGCCTCCTGAGTAGCTGGGACTACAGGCGCCCGCCACCACGCCTGGCTAATTTTTATATTTTTAGTAGAGATAGGGTTTCATCATATTGTCCAGGCTGGTCTTGAACTCCTGACCTCGTGATCCGCCTGCCTTGGCCTCCCAAAGTGCTGGGATTACAGGCGTGAGCCAACGCACCCGGCCAATTTTTTATTTTTACTGTACCTTTTCTATGTTTAGATAAATACTTACCATTGTGTTACAATTGCCTACAGTATTCAGCACAGTAACATGCTGTACAGGTTTATAGCCTAAAAGCAATAGGCTATGCCATACAGTAGCCTAGGTGTGCAGTAGGCTACACCACGCAGGTTTGTTAAGTATACTATGATGTTCACACAATGATGAAACCACCTAACAGGCATTTCTCAGAACACATCCCCTTCATTAAGCAATGCATGACTATACTGACTCAATGTCCCTGAACCAAGGCTTCCCATTAGCATTTCAGGACAAACCCTGCATCACCCAGGACTTGAAGCAATTCTTGATTTTTCTGCTCAGAGCAACCAAGACTTTGAAAATATCACTGTATCCAGAGACCATTAAAGACCATAAAAGTATGGACAATTTGGGCAAGCTTTTACAAGAAGGAAGTAGGCTGGGGTAAGTTCCAAATAAAAAGTCCTTTCACAGGGGGTGGTGGCTCACACCTGTAATCCCAGCACTTTGGGAGGCCGAGGCCAGTGGACTGCCTGAGGTCAGGAGTTCGAGAACAGTCTGGCCAACCTGGTGAAATCCCCGTCTCTACTAAAAATACAAAAAAATTGGCCAGACGTGGTAGCGTTCGCCTGTGATCCCAGCTACTCAGGAGGCTGAGGCAGGGGAATTGCTTGAACCAGGGAGGTGGAGGTTGCAGTGAGCCAAGATCACGCCACTGCACTCCAGCCTTGGCCACAGAGTGAGACTACATCTCAAAAAAAAGAAAAAAGTCCTTTCACTGGAGGGTTTGTAAGGTCATGGTCCAGGTACCTAAGGAATCTGTGGGCCTGGCTAAAATATTTCTCCCTAACCATATAACCTGAACAGCTCTGAACAAATTCAGAGATGGCAAGTCTACAAGTAGAGTTGGCCTTTTAAGAACACCCTGACTTTCTAAAATTATGAAATAGTGGACCAGGAGATATGCTGTGTGGTTACCTAATTCTGACCTTCATTTTAAAGGTTAGTAAACTTGTCTTGTTCAGGACCATAAAGACTGTTAAAAGTGGGGCTGGTGCAGTGGCTCACATCTGTAATCCCAGCACTTTGAGAAGCCGAGGTGGGAGGATCGCTTGAGGCCAGGAGTTTGAGACCAGCCTGGGCAGCATAGAAAAACTTCATCTCTTTTTTATTTTTATTTTTTTAAATTAGCTGGGTGTGCTGGTGCACGCCTGTAGTCCCAGCTACTCAGGAGACTGAGGCGCGAAGATCACTTGAGCCCAGGAGTTCAGGGTGACAGTGAGTCATGATCATGCCACTGCATTCCAGTCTAGGCGAGACAATGTCTCAAAAAATAAACAAATAAACCAACCAAACAAACAAAAAAGACTGTTAAAAACAGGCTAGAGGCCCCCTGATTTCCAGGGCAGTATTGTGTTCACTGTACCATACTTAAGGAAAAACAGCTTACTAGGGAAAGATCGTTTTCAGAAATTGAAAACTAATAAAAATCAACAACAACAACAAAAATTTAGAAGACAGGCTCTGCCTGAAGGCTCCCCAGCACCCTTTTCAGGGCTTCATGCAGTTTTTCTGACATCAGGCGATCAAAAATAATAATAGAAATGCAATGTGACAGGCCGGGCGTGGTGGCTCACACCTGTAATCCCAGCATTTTGGGAGGCTGAGGCGGGCGGATCACAAGGTCAGGAGTTCGGGACCAGCCTGGCCAATATGGTGAAACCTCGTCTCCACTAAAAGTACAGAAATTAGCCAGGCGTGGTCGTGGGCACCTGTAATCCCAGCTACTCAGGAGGCTGAGGCAGGAGAATTGCTTGAACCTAGGAGGTGGAGGTTGCAGTGAGCTGAGATTGTGCCACTGCACTCCAGCTGGGCGACAGAGTGAGACTCCGTCTCAAAAAAAAAAAAAAAAAGACAAAGAAATGCAATGTGACATGTAACTCTTCCTATGATAAGAAATTTATTTAATGGTGGCTCAACATTCCACTATTCAGATGTTCTGTATTTTGTGTAATCAATTCCTTCTTACTGGAAATCTAGGCTGTTTCTCTTTTCTATTATTTACTTACTGGATTGTAAATTGGTAATGAGCCAGAAAGGTTTACATTCATCCAATTTAAAGGACTGTTAAAAAAAAAAAAAAAAAAAAAAAGGACGAAGAAAGCAACGCCATGCATAAGGTCAAGAGTCAGAATTTTTTTAAAAAAGGGAAAAATGCTACAAACAGCAGCAATTAAGCCACAAATAAAATAACTGCCTTTTTGGAATACAACAAATTCCATAATATAACTACTCCATGAGCCAAACATTTCTTCCTCTCCATCCCTCCTTATTCAAGTATTAAATATAATCTTGACTAAATGACCGTGCTGATTCATAATGAAAAGTTACCTGCATTTAAAATACACAGTCCCTTCGTGGCTCCCATCATGCTTTCCTCTCTCGGGATTGTCCCATTCTACTCCTAACCAGGGTCCTAGCAGAACAAGAAAAACCAAATGAGTAACAGATGATGATACAGGCAATGCTCCAGTTTTCTGCAAGCAAATACCAATTTGCAGCGGAAACCATATCACACAGATACCACTTGGGGAGGAGGGAATGGACAAGTTAGCCTTATACTCAGGACTTCAATCAGCAAATGCCATAGCATGTCTGGGTGAAAAAGCCAACAAAAACCACCACTCCAGAAAACAAGAATGGCTAAAATTTATTGAGCACACTAAACAAAACTGACCCTTGAGGACATTACACTAAGAGAAATAAGCCACCATAAAAGGACAAATACCATATTCCACTTATATGAGATACTTAGGGTAGTTACTACTAAACTGTACATTCAAAACTGGTTCAGATGGTAAATTTTATGTTACGTATATTTCACCACAATTTAAAATGTTAAATTGAAAAGTGGTTAAAATGGCAAACTTTATGTTATGTATGTGGCTACAATAAAAATTAAAAAAAAAAAAAAAGCCCAGGCACAGTGGCTTACGCCTGTAGTCCCAGCACTTTGCAAGGCCAAAGTGGGCGGATCACCTGAGGTCAGGAATTCGAGACTGGTCGAGACTGGCCTGACCAACGTGAAGAAACCCCATCTCTACTAAAAATACAAAATTAGCCAGGTGTGGTGACACATGACAGTAATCCCAGCTACTCGGGAGGCTGAGGCAGGAGAATCACTTGAACCCGGGAGGCGGAGGTTGCAGTGAGCCGAGATCATGCCACTGCACTCCAGCCTGGGCAACAAGAGCAAAATTCCGTCTCAAAAAAAAAAAAGGCTGGGCACAGTGGCTCACGCCTGTAACCCCAGCACTTTGAGAGGCAGAGGCAGGCGGATCACGAGGTCAGGAGTTCGAGACCATCCTGGCTAACACAGTGAAACGCCGTCTCTACTAAAAATACAAAAAATTAGCCAGGCACGGTGGCGAGCGCCTATAGCCCCAGCTACTCCGGAGGCTGAGACAGGAGAACGGCGTGAACCCGGAAGGCGGAGGTTGCAGTGAGCCGAGATCACGCCACTGCACCCCAGCCTAGGCGACAGGGCGAGACTCCATCTCAAAAAAAAAAGAGGAAAAATAATTTTTTCCTTCAATTTCAGCAAAAACCCAATAAAGGTAGTCTTCAAGGAAAAAGAAAATTATACCAGATAGAAGCCTAAAGATACAAGGAGTGGGGAGATAAAAGGCAAGAAAAGGGTAAATATATGGGTGAAGTTAAAGTAATACAGACAATGTAAAGTAATAATATCAGTTCTTCGGGTTTAAAATAAACATCGGTTAAAATGTCACACATATGAGTTAGGAAGGTGATAAATGGCATGTTCTAAGGTCTTTCATGGGTCCAAAAGGAGGTATAATTATTAGACTAGATTTCTGTAAACCAGAGATGCATATTTTAATCTCTAGACTTACCTCTAAATAATAAAAAATTAACTGCTGTGTAAGGAAAAATAAAAAATGAATAACTACTGCATAAGTTAAAACTCTCCAAACCATGTCTTTCCTCTGCTACACTATTCCTCACACTACAACGATCAGCACAGATGACTTCTGTGACCGAATGTGTGGGGGTTTTCCCCACACACCAAGCAGGGGATGCCATCTGGGTGTCCGCCAATTCAATTCTGACACTATCTGACTGGACATAGTGTCAGACCACCAGCCACTAGCCTGGGCGTCTGGAACTTCTGACCGACCAGCTTCAAACAGCTGGGGTTCCAACAGCCCCCTCTTTGTATTTGATTAATTTGCTGGAGCGGCTCACAGAACTCAGGAAAACACTTACTTACATTTACAGGTTTATTATAAAAAATATTGCAAAGAATCTAGATGAAGAGGTGTGCTAAGGCGAGGTACAGGGGAAGGGCTGTGGAGCTTCCAAGCCCTCCATGGATGCAAGAACCTTCACAGATTCAGCTATCTAGAAGTTCAAAGACATTAGCATTCCTGCCTCTAGTGTAGAGGGGTGGGAGCCTCTCCGGGAGGGTCTTATGACCCACAGTCAGAATGGTGGAAGAAGATTAGAGTTCTGCCTTGGGGCAGGAGAATGGAGGGCAGGAGAGAGATCCTGTTTCCTGAGGCCTGACACACCAATATTATAACAAAAGACTGTAACAAGAGGTATGGGAGTTGAGAACCAGGAACCATGAACAAAAACCAATATATATCATACCACCACAACTCCAAACTAATGGAGAAGAAACACAAGGTAAAAATAATCATCTCTAGGCTTGGTGGCTCACGCCTGTAATCCCAGCACTTTGGGAGGTGAAGGCGGGTGGATTGCTTGAGCTCAGGAGTTCGAGACCAGCCTAGGCAACATGGCAAAACCCCGTCTCTACTAAAAATACAAAAAAATAGTTGGGCATGGTGGTGCATGCCTGTGATCCCAGCTACCCAGAAGGCTGAGGTGGGAGGATCGCTTGAGCCTGAGGTATGGAGGTTGCAGTGAGCCAAGGTTGAGCCACTGCACTCCAGCCTGAGTGACAGAGGGAGACTCTGTCTCAAAAAAGAAAAAAAGAAAAGAAATAGTGGCTGGGCACGGGAGCTCACGCCCATGATCCCAGCACTTTGGGAGGCCAAGACTGGCTGATTGCTTGAGCTCTGGAATTTGAGATCAGCCTAGGTAACATAGTGAAACCACATCTCTACAAAAACTACAAAAATAAGCCCGGCTCAAGCGATTCTTTTGCCTTAGCCTTCCGAGTAGCTGGGACTACAGTAGCTGTAGTCCCAGCTACTCGGAAGGCTGAGGTGGGAGGACTGCTTCAACCCAGGAGGCAGAATTTGCAGATAGTGCTACTGCACTCCAGCCTGAGCAATGGAGTAAGACCTTGTCTCAAAAAAAAAAAAAAGAAAACACCACAAATAATCATCATCGTCATCCAATGAAGGGAGAAAAAAAGGAACAGAATGTCAGCAAAACAAACAAAAAGCAAGTAGTAAGATGAGAGATATAAACCCAAATTATCAATAATTAAGTAAAACATAAATGGTATAAATGCTCTCATTAAAAGAAAACATTTTCCAATACCCGGGCACGGTGGCTCACACCTATGGTCCCAGCACTTATGGAGGCCAAGTCAGGTGGATCACCTGAGGTCAGGAATTTGAGACCAGCCTGACCAACATGGCAAAACCCCATCTCTACTAAAAATAGAAAAATTAGCCGGGCGTGGTGGCGGGTGCCTGTAATCCCAGCTAGTTGGGAGGCTGAGTTGGGAGAATTGCTGGAACCCAGGAGGTGTAGGTTGCAGTGAGCCAAGATCGCACCATTGTACTCCAACCTGGGCGACAAGAACAAAACTCCATCTCAAAAGAAAAAAAAAAAAAAAGAAAGAAGTAAATGTTATCATCATAGAAACTATCAGAATGGGTTGAATTGATGGATGCTACAAAGAAGAATGCACAAAATAAGGCCATTCTCTCACACTGCAAAGCACAAGTCATTTTTCAAGCCAAAGCAGACAGAAGGAGCAAGGCCAGCATTCAACTGTGATTAGCTGTAAGTCTGACGAAGAATATCTATGGTTTAGCAAGCTTTTCCCCTGGGGCCAGTACATTAATGATAGAGGAGCAACTACAGAAACCAGTATGAGTAAGAGAGTGGACAGACATGGTATAAGGGTATACCTCACCAGTCAGATCCCAGGAATGTGTAAGATCCAGATTTTTGCTTTCTACATCCAGGGCGAACAAACCCTGATAGCCTCAATTTGAAAATTCCAAATGCACAGAAGACTGAACCAGACACTAGCACACAGGTTTATTAATTCACAATGATTAATAAAGCTGTCACACAAACCTGATTACTCTGGTCAACCTAATTTGTTTCCTATTCTCCATGGACTCAAGCCACATGAAAAGCCAATCATAATCAGGCCCAACTTCACTGACATCACAAGAATTAAAAATAATTAATCCATCACAAAAGTTCTGCATAGCGAAAGAAACAATCAACAAAGTGCCGGACGCGGTGGCTTACGCCTGTAATCCCAGCACTTTGGGAGGCCAAAGCGGGTGGATCACAAGGTCACGAGGTCAGGAGATCGAGACCATCCTGGCTAGCACCACGGTGAAACCCTGTCTCTACTAAAAAATACAAAAAATTAGCCGCGCATCCTGGCGGGCGCCCGTAGTCCCAGCTGCTCGGGAGGCTGAAGCAGGAGAATGGCGTGAACCCAGGAGGCGGAGCTTGCAGTGAGCCCAGATCGCGCCACTGCACTCCAGCCTGGGCGACAGAGCAAGACTCCGTCTCAAAAAAAAAAAAAAAAAAAGAGATTGAGACCATCCTGGCCAACGTGGTGAAACCCCGTCTCTACTAAAAATACAAAAATTAGCTGGGCGTGGTGGCGCACCCCTGTAGTCCCAGCTACTCGGAAGGCTAAGGCAAAAGAATCGCTTGAGCCAGGGCGGTGGAGGTTGCAGTGAGCCAAGATGGCGCTACTGCACTCCAGCTTGGAGACAGAGCGAGACTCTTGTCTCAAAAGAAAAATAAATAAATAAATAAATAAATAAATAAACAATCAACAAAGTGAAGAGACAACTCACAGAATGGGAGAAAATATTTACAAACTACTCATCTAATAAGGGATTAATAACCAGAATATAATAAGGAGCTCAAACAATTCAATGGGAAAAACATCTATTAATCCGATTAAGAAATGGGCAAAAGATCTGAATAGACATTTCTCAAAGGAAGGCATACAAATGGCAAGCAGGTACATGAAAAGGTGCTCAACATCACTGATCATCAGAGAAATGCAAATCAAAACTACAATGAGATATCACATCACTCCAGTTAAAAGGACTTTTATCCAAAAGAGAGGATATAATAAATGCTAGAGAAAAGGGAACCCTCACACACTGTTAGTGGGAATGTAAATTAGTACAACCACTATGGAGAACAGTTTGGAGATTCCTCAAAAAACTAAAAATAGAACTGCCATATGTTCCAGCAATCCCACTGCTAGTTATATACCAAAAAGAAAGAAAACCAGTATATAGAAGAGACATCTGCACTCCTATGTTTACTGCAGCACTATTCAAAATAGCCAAGGTTTGGAATCAACCTAAGTGTCCATCAACAGATGAATGGATAAAGAAAATAAACACATAAGGGCCGGGCACGGTGGCTCACGCCTGTAATCCCAGCACTTTGGGAGGCAGAGGCGGGCAGATCATGAGGTCAGGAGATCGAGACCATCCTGGCTAACATGGTGAAATCCCATCTCTACTAAAAATACAAAAAATTAGCCGGGCGTGGTGGTGGGCACCCGTAGTCCCAGCTACTCGGAGGCTGAGGCAGGAGAATGGCGTGAACCCAGGAGGCGGAGCTTGCAGTGAGCCGAGATCGCTCCACTGCACTCCAGCCTGGGCGGCAAAGCGAGACTCTGTCTCAAAAGAAAAAAAAAGAAAAAGAAAAAGAAAATAAACACATACACAATAAAATACTATCCAGCCTTAAAAAATAATGAGATCCTGTCATTTGCAACAACATGGGTGGAACTGGAGGTCATTATGTTAAATGAAATAAGTCAAGCACAGAAAGACAAACCTCACATGTTCTCACTTACTTGCAGGAGCTAAAAAAATGAAAATAATTGAACTCATGGAGATAGCAAGTAGAACGGGGCTGGGCACGGTGGCTCATGTCTGTAATCTCAGCACTTTGGGAGGCTAAGGCAGGTGGATCACCTGAGGTCAGGAGTTCGAGAGCAGCCTGGCCAACATGGCAAATCCCCGTCTCCATTAAAAATACAAAATTTAGCCAGGTGTGGTGGTGCACACCTGTAATCCCAGCTACTTGGGAGGCTGAGGCAGAAGAATTGCTTGAACCCAGGAGGCGGAGGTTGCTGTGGGCCAAGATGGCACCACTGCACTCCAGCCTGGGCGACAGAGCGAGACTCCACCTTAAAAAAAAAAAAAAGAAGAAGAAGAAGTAGAATGATGGTTACTAAAGGCTGGGGGGCTGGGCAGGGGGAGAGAGTGGGAATGGTTAATGGGCACAAAAATACAGATAGCATAAATAAGATCTAGTGTTTGATAGCATGACAGGGTGACTACCATCAACAATAATTTATTGTGCATCTTTATATAACTAAAAGGGTATAATTGGGCTGTTTGTAACAAACAGAGAATAAATGGTGATGGATACCTCATTTACCTAGATGTGATTATTATGTATTATATGCCTGTATCAAAATCTCTCTTGTACCCTATAAATATATACACCTACTATGTACCCACAAAAATTAAAAGAATTAATCCAACAATCCAGAAATCATCCTCCTTGGTATTTACCCAAATAAGTTGAAAATTTATGTCCACACAAAAACCTGCACACAAATGTTTAAAGCAACTTTACTCATAATTCCCCAAACCAGAAAACAAAATATCCTTTAGTAGGTGAAGAATAAACCGTGGTACATCCAGACAATGGAATAGTAATCAGCATTACAAATATATAAGCTGGCCTGGAACTGTGGCTCATGCCTGTGATCCCAGCACTTTCGGAGGCCAAGGCAGGAGGATCGCTTGAGCCCAGGAGTTCAAGTCCAGTCTGGGCGCCATAGGAAGACCTTGTCTCAACAAAAAATTAGCAAGGTATGGTGGCTAGTGCCTGTAATCCCAACTACTCAGGAGACTGAGGTGGGACGATCACTTGGGCCCCAGAGGTTGAGGCTTCAGTGAGCTATGATCATGCCACTGCACTCCACCCTGGGCTACAGAGCAAGACTCTGTCTCAAAAAATAAGGGCTAGGTGTGGTGGTTCACACCTGTAATCCCAGCACTTTGGGAGGCCTAGGCAGGCAGATTGCTTGAGCCCAGGTGCTAAACACCAGCCTGGCAAAACCCGCTCTCTAAAAAATACAAAAAATTAGCTGGGCATGGTGGTGCACATCTGTAGTCCCAGCAACTTGGGAGGCTAAGGTGAGAGAATCACTTCAGCCCAGGTGCAGAAGCTATAGTTACAGTGAGCTATGATAGCACTACTGAACTCCAGCCTGGGCAACAGAGTGACAACCTGTCTCAAAAAAAAAAAAAAAAAAAAAAAAAGAAATTATCAAAAATTATCAAATGTCTATAATAAAATTCATTACAGGCCAGGCATGGTGGCTCACGCCTGTAATCCCAGCATTTTGGGAGGCCGAGGCAGGTGGATCACGAGGTCAGGAGATCGAGACTATCCTGGCTAACACGGTGAAACCCCGTCTCTACTAAATATACAAAAAAGTAGCTGGGCGTAGTGGTGGGCGCCTGTATTTCCAGCTACTCGGGAGGCTGAGGCAGGAGAATGGCGTGAACCCAGCGGGCAGAGCTTGCAATGAGCTGAGATTGCACCACTGCACTCCAGCCTGAGCGACAGAGCGAGACTCCGTCTCAAAAAAATAAATAAAAATAAAATAAAATTTGTTACAAATTTTAAGTAGGGCTGCATCCTAGTAATAAGTAAACTACAATATGCACCCTGAAATCACTAAATGAAATAAATAACTTAATTACCTACTTAATTACACTACAATTTTCACCTAAATACCACGGTGTGTCTGTCAAAGGCAGGAACTTTGGTTTGATACAATCTTTAGATGTTCCCCTAGGCAACAGTCAGTAAGCTTAGCTGTTTCCTTCATCCACTCCCAGAACATGAAAACATATCATGTCATTACCATATTAAAATACATATATATCTATTTGCTCTGTAGGAGGATAAAAGCATGATTCTTCTGAAAGGTGTATACAACTGCTAAAAGAACATCACTGCTGTACATACTTTATGAAGAGATTTGCTACCAGACTACCTGTGTCAACTCTATTCTCCAGGTATTATTATTTCAATATATTTCAATACAGTAAATGAAAAAAAAACATTTAAAACTCTGGAACAAGAACAGCAATAAAACAACAATAATAAGATATAATCAATAAATACTATTTTTTTTAGACAGTCTCACTCTGTCACCCAGGCTGGAGTGCAGTGGCGCCATCTCGGCTCACCGCAACCTCCACCTCCTGGGTTCAAGCGATTCTCCTGCCTCAGCCTCCCAAGTAGCTGGGATTACAGGCACGTGCCACCACACCAGGCTAATTGTTTGTATTTTTAGTAGAGACAGGGTTTCACCGTGTTAGCCAGGAAGGTCTCGATCTCCTGACCTTGTGATCCACCCACCTCGGCCTCCCAAAGTGCTGGGATTACAGGCGTGAGCCACCACGCCCGACCATTAAATACTATTTTTTAAAATATCTCTAGCATTATAACTCAGTATATAAATAATGTGAAAAGCCAATAGTAGGTAAATAAATGCTACAGAAGTCTTTATAAACAAACATTTCATTTTGGTGAAAAACAAAGTGTAACCACAGGAAATGGTGGGATAAAAATTAGATTTTTCTCTATATGGGAAGCTAAGAAACTCATGTCTAAAATTAATCAAGAAAAAAGCTAAAGCAGAATTTTTTTTTATTAATTTTTTTAGAGACAGCATCTCACTCTGTTGCCCAGGCTGGATTATAGCTCATTGCAGCCATGAACTTATGGGCTCAAGCAATCCTCCCACCTCAGCCTCCCAGTAGCTGGGACTACAGGCCTGAGTCACCATGCCTGGCAAATAATTTTGTTAAAAGACAGCAGATTAAAAGAGCATGTGACTACCCCATCTTAAAATCTTAAAGAATGGACACCACTTTGGACTAAAGAATTAAACCAAGATGTGAAATAGAATCAAGTTTTTCAATAATCTGGATTTACTGATTTAAAACAATTCTGGGCCAGGCGTGGTGGCTCAGGCATGTAATCCCAGCACTTTGGGAGGCTGAGGTGGGCGGATCACCTGAGGTCAGCAGTTCGAGATCAGCCTGGCCAACACAGTGAAACCCCATCTCTACCAATAATACAAAAATTAGCTGGGCATGGAGGGGGGTGCCTGTAATCCTAGCTACTCGGCAGGCTAAGGCAGGAGAATTGCTTGAATCCAGGAGGCGGAGGTTGCAGTGAGCCAAGATCCCACCACTGCACTCCAGCCTGGGCAACAAGAGCGAGACTCTGTCTAAAAAAAAAAAAAAAAAAAAAAAAAAAATTCTGTTCAGCAATTTGACAATATGAATCACAACTTTCTTTTTTCTGAAACAGAGACTTGCTCTGTCACCCAGCCTGGAGTGCAGTGGCACGATCACGGTTCACTGCAGGCTCAACTTCCTGGGCTCAAGCAATCCTCCCATTTCAGCTTCCCAAGTAGCTGGGGCTACAGGCACATGCCACCATGCCTGGCTGATTTTATTTTTTATTTATGTACTTATTTATTTATTTATTTATTTTTGCTAGAGACAGGGATCTTGTTACGTTACCTAGGCTGGTCTCAAACTCCTGAGCTCAAGCAATCCTCCCTCTTCAGCCTCCCAAAGTGCTGCAATTACAGGCATGAGCCACCATACCCAACCTATGAATCACAATTTAAACTGTACAGTTTTGTAAGAAAACGTATTTTTTTTTTAGAATTACAATGTAAAGTATTTAGGAATGAAATGCTACTCCGTATATAATTTAAAATGCTTAAGCAAAAAATAAGAGATGGGCCGAGTGCAGTGGCTCACATCTGTAATCCCAGCGCTTTGAGAGGGTGAGGTGGGTTGATCACCTCAGGTCAGGTGTTCAAGACCAGCCTGGCCAACACGGGAAAACCCCATCTCTACTAAAAATATAAAAATTAGCTGGGCATAGTGGTGCAAGTCTGTAATCCCAGCTACTTGGGAGGCTGAGGGAGGAGAACCGCTTGAACCTGGGAAGCAGTGGTTGCAGTGAGCAGAGATCGTACCACTGCACTCCAGCCTGGGTGACAGAGTAAGACTCCATCTCAAAAAAAAAAAAAAAAAAAAAAAAGGAAATGAAGCAAATATGGTATGGTAACATGTTAACAATTGTTAAACTGACATGACAAGCATATACAGGTGTCCATTATACTATTCTCTCTACTTTCTTTGTCTACGCTTTTTTTTTTTTGAGATGGAGTCTTTGTGGCCCAGGCTGGGGTGCAGTGGTGCAATCTCGGCTCACTGCAACCTCCACGTCCCAGGTTTAAGCAATTATCTTGCCTCAGCCTCACAAGTAGCTGGGATTACAGGCACCCACTACCACACCCAGCTAATTTTTTTTGTACTGTTAGTAGAGACAGGGTTTCGCCATGTTGCCCAGGCTGGTCTCGAACTCTTGACCAAGTGATCCACCTGCCTCCCAAAGTGTTGGGATTACAGGCGTGAGCCACCACGCCTGGCTTATTCTCTCTACTTTCTATATTTTTGAAACCTTTTCTTTTTTGTATTTTCTAATAATAATATAAAAACTACTCATATCTTCCTTAAATCTATTCTACTTGTAGGAATTAATCCAACAGAGGCAGCTCTGTCCTTTAAAAAGGCCCAGAAACGAAGACCAACCCAGTAGCAATGAACACCGCTGCAGCCCATACTGTGGCCCCTGAATGATATTTGCCAGCAAAAGAAAGAAAGAAAACAGCAAGAAATGTAAGATGAACCTTTACATGATAGCTTCCTTATCATATGAGGAAAGTTTTTCCAGCTTCTAGAGGCTTAGAGGCTGCACACTCCTTAGCTCATGACCCTCTTCCATCTTCAGAATAAACAATGGCCAGCTGAAACATTCTCACGTCACACTGACACTGCCTCTTCTGCCTCTAGCTTCTACTTTTTTTTTTTTTTTTTTTTGAGACGTTTCGCTCTTGTCACCCAGGCTGGAGTGCAATGGCACGATCTCAGCTCACTGCAACCTCCGTCTCCCAGGTTCAAGCGATTCTCCTGCCTCAGCCTCCCAAGTAGCTCGGATTATTGGCATGCACCACCACATCTGACTAATTTTTGTATTTTTTGTATTTTTAGTAGAGACAGGGTTTCACCATGTTGGTCAGGCTGGTCTTGAACTCCTGACCTCAGGTGATCCATCCGACTTGGCCTCCCAAAGTGCTGGGACTACAGGTGTGAGCCACTGCGTCTAGCCTAGCTTCTACTTCTAATGATTCTTGTGATTACACTGAGCCCAACTGGATAAACCGGATACTCTCCCAATCTTAAAATCAGCTGATTAGCAACCTTAATTCCATCTATAATTCTAATTCCCCTTTGCCATGTAACCTAGCAAAATCAGAGGTTCTGGGGACATCTTTGGGAGGCTATTATCCTGCCCACCACAGTATATCATCTTTATTCCATCTGAACAGTTTAAGATGTAATACTTTTTAAATCTTTGTATGATGCTATCACAGGAAATAATATCTCCAATTACAAGAAGCCATTTGCAGAACATTAGTACAATTGCATTTCTTTTTCTTTTTCTTTTTTTTTTTGAGACAGTCTTACTCTGTCACCCAGGCTGGAATGGAGTGATGCCATTTCGTCTCACTGCAACCTCTTCCTCCCGTGTTCAAGCGATTCTGCTGTCTCAGCCTCCCAAGTAGCTGGGGCTACAGGAGCGCACCACAAAACCCAGCTAATTTTTTTTGTATTTTTAGTAGAGACAGGGTTTCAACATGTTGGTCAGGCTGGTCTCAAACTCCTGACTTCAAGTGATCTACAGCCTTGGCTTCCTGAAGTGCTGGGATTACAGGCATGAGCCACCACGCCCAGTCTGCATTTCTTTTTAAAGTAAGTTTTAAAATGTTTATTTACAACAATATGCACGATTAACTGGTCTAAGTGCTTTAAACATCTAACTGATTTAGTTGTCATAACAGCTCTACAACATCCAGTGAAGTAACCGCAGAAATTATTACTAAATCTGTGTTCAATTTCTGTGCATCTTAGTACCAATTCCAAAAGATGACCTCTAAACTAAATGCAGGCCAGGCGTGGTGGCTCACACCTGTAATCCCAGCACTTTGGGAGGTAGAGATGGGCAGATTATGAGGTCAGGTGTTTGAGACCAGCCTGGCCAACATGGTGAAACCCCGTTTCTACCAAAAAAACCATGCAAAAATTAGCTGTGTGTGGTGGCAGGTGCCTGTAGTCCCAGCTACTCGGGAGGCTGAGGCAGGAGAATCACTTGAACCCAGGAGGCAGAGGTTACAATGAGCCGAGATTGTGCCATTGCACTCCAGCCTAGGCAACAAGAACGAAACTCAACCTCAAACAAACAAACAAACAAAAAGCTTAAATTTACAGTAGCTCCCTCTCTGCAGAATTACAATTTTCAAGGGAGAAAGAAGCACTTACCTGATAAAACATGCATGAAGAAAGTGTCACATTCACAGGCAATTTAATAAATAAAATTTAAATAAATTAAAAACTTCACGTTTGCTAAACTATCATTAAAAAACTTTTATCTATATTACTGTACTAGTGATATGCCACCCTGTCTTCAAGAATTGGGACTTATCTCCCAATAGCTGGGAGGACTGGCTTTTGGTAAATAGCCCTCAACTGTCTGCCCTCTTATGGAACTGTCTACTGTAGAAAGCATCTTGCCCAAGGGCACACCCCCTTCCTAGGGTCAACAGAACCTAGTGACAGATCATCACTAATGTATAATGACCCAGCCCCTCATCTCCACTAGGAAAGACTCTGAAAGGCCACTCTATCTTCAGAGCACCCAAAGGAGACAGCTGAAATATTTGTTGAGGCTGTACCATAGCCCAGCTTAGCCCTCTGCCCAACCTTGCTTACTCTCTTTCCTCTTCCATGAGTACTGGTCCCAAAGTACTCCCTAAAAAACTTTCTGAACACTAAACTTTCTAAGTGTAAATCTCTAGCTAAGTCTGCTTCCCAGAGAATGTGAATATTGGAAATTTCCAAGTACCGGACATTGACTGACTTGCAGACAACAATTTGGCAACATATGTCAAGAACCTGAGAATATTCACATTCCTTAGAAGTAACAGAGTAGAGCCAGGTGCAGTGGCTCATGCCCGTAATCCCAGCACTTTGGGAGGCTTGGGCAGGCAGATCACCTAAGGTCAGGAGTTCGAGACCAGCCTGGCCAACATGGTGAAACCCTGCCTCTACTAAAAATACAAAAATTAGCTGGGTGTGGTGGTGGGTCCCCGTAATCCCAGCTACTCGGGAGGCTGAGGCAGGAGAATCACTTGAACCTGGGAGGCGGAGGTTGCAGTGAGCCAAGATCATGCCATTGCACTCCAGCCTGGGCAACAAAAGTGAGACTCCATCTCAAAAAAAAAAAAAAAAAAAAAAGAAGTAACAGAGAAGAAAGGGCATGGGCAATGAAGGATAGATTCAAATCCCAGCTCTGCTATATAAAAGTTTTAAGACCTGAGACTTGGTCTTCTTGTCTATAAACATAGGAATAGTAACATCTATATTTTAAGGTTGTTATTGGAATATTCAAAGTTGAGAGCATGCTTTCAAGTGTCTGGTACACAGTAATTATTCATTAAACATTACTTTCTCTTCCCATTTACAAATAATACCAGGAAAGTAAAAACCCTTGACAGATTAGGTATATGTTAAAGACTTCCACAGCCTCCATGAAGGCAGAGTCCACATGTATCTTGTTCAATGGCTTTCACCAAACCTTATTGTGCATCAGAATCCCCTGGAGGGGCTGCTCTGTCTATGGAGTAGCCATTCTTTTATTCCTTTACTTTCCTAATAAACTTGTTTTCACTTTACAGACTGGCCCTGAATTCTTTCTTGCACGAGATCCAAGAACCCTCTTTTGGGGTCTGGATTGAGACCATTTCCTGTAACATCTTTCCCTCATTTGGGAAGCGCAAGGGGTCAGGGAGTTCCCTTTGCTAGTCAAAGAAAGGGGTGACAGATGGCACCTGGAAAATCGGGTCACTCCCACCCTAATACTGCACTTTTCTGATGAGCTTAAAAAACGGCACACCAGGAGATTATATCCCGCACCTGGCTCGGAGGGTCCTACACCTACGGAGTCTCACTGATTGCTAGCACAGCAGTCTGAGATCAAACTGCAAGGCAGCAGCGCGGCTGGGGGAGGGGTGCCCACCATTGCCCAGGCTTGCTTAGGTAAACAAAGCAGCCGGGAAGCTCGAACTGGGTGGAGCCCACCACATCTCAAGGAGGCCTGCCTGCCTCTGTAGGCTCCACCTCTGGGGGCAGGGCACAGACAAACAAAAAGGCAGCAGTAACCTCTGCAGACTTAAATGTCCCCGTCTGACAGCTTTGAAGAGAGCAGTGGTTCTCCCAGCATGCAGCTGGAGATCTGAGAACAGGCAGACTGCCTCCTCAAGTGGGTCCCTGACCCCTGACCCCTGAGCAGCCTAACTGGGAGGCACCCCCAGCAGGGGCAGACTGACACCTCACACGGCCGGGTACTCCTCTGAGACAAAACTTCCAGAGGAACGATCAGACAGCAGCATTCGCGGTTCACGAAAATCCGCTGTTCTGCAGCCACTGCTGCTGATACCCAGGCAAACGGTCTGGAGTGGACCTCTAGCAAACTCCAACAGACCTGCAGCTGAGGGTCCTGTCTGTTAGAAGGAAAACTAACAAACAGGAAGGACATCCACACCAAAAACCCATCTGTACATCACCATCATCAAAGACCAAAAGTAGATAAAACCACAAAGATGGGGAAAAAACAGAGCAGAAAAACTGGAAACTCTAAAAAGCAGAGCGCCTCTCCTCCTCCAAAGGAACACAGCTCCTCACCAGCAACGGAACAAAGCTGGACAGAGAATGACTTTGACAAATTGAGAGAAGAAGGCTTCAGACGATCAAACTACTCCGAGCTACAGGAGGAAATTCAAACCAAAGGCAAAGAAGTTAAAAACTTTGAAAAAAATTTAGACGAATGTATAACTAGAATAACCAATACAGAGAAGTGCTTAAAGGAGCTGATGGAGCTGAAAGCCAAGGCTCAAGAACTACGTGAAGAATGCAGAAGCCTCAGGAGCTGATGCAATCAACTGGAAGAAAGGGTATCAGTGATGGAAGATGAAATGAATGAAATGAAGCGAGAAGGGAAGTTTAGAGAAAAAAGAATAAAAAGAAATGAACAAAGCCTCCAAGAAATATGGGACTATGTGAAAAAACCAAATCTACGTCTGATTGGTGTACCTGAAAGTGACGGGGAGAATGGAACCAAGTTGGAAAACACTCTGCAGGATATTATCCAGGAGAACTTCCCCAATCTAGCAAGGCAAGCCAACAATCAGATTCAGAAAATACAGAGAATGCCACAAAGATACTCCTCGAGAAGAGCAACTCCAAGACACATAATTGTCAGATTCACCAAAGTTGAAATGAAGGAAAAAATGTTAAGGGCAGCCAGAGACAAAGGGAAGCCCATCAGACTAACAGCGGATCTCTTGGCAGAAACTCTACAAGCCAGAAGAGAGTGGGAGCCAATATTCAACATTCTTAAAGAAAAGAATTTTCAACCCAGAATTTCATATCCAGCCAAACTAAGCTTCATAAGTGAAGGAGAAATAAAATACTTTACAGACAAGCAAATACTGAGAGATTTTGTCACCACCAGGCCTGCCCTAAAAGAGCTCCTGAAGGAAGCACTAAACATGGAAAGGAACAACTGGTACCAGCCACTGCAAAATCATGCCAAATTGTAAAGACCATCAAGGCTGGAAGAAACTGCATCAACTAACGAGCAAAATAAACAGCTAACATCATAATGACAGGATGAAATTCACACATAACAATATTAACTTTAAATGTAAATGGACTAAATGCTCCAATTAAAAGACACAGACTGGCAAATTGGATAAAGAGTCAAGACCCATCAGTGTGCTGTATTCAGGAAACCCATCTCACAGGCAGAGACACACACAGGCCCAAAATAAAAAGATAGAGGAAGATCTACCAAGCAAATGGAAAACAAAAAAAGGCAGGGGTTGCAATCCTAGTCTCTGATAAAACAGACTTTAAACCAACAAAGATCAAAAGACACAAAGAAGGCCATTACATAATGATAAAGGGATCAATTCAACAAGAAGAGCTAACTATCCTAAATATATATGCACCCAATACAGGAGCACCCAGATTCATAAAGCAAGTCCTCAGTGACCTACAAAGAGACTTAGACTCCCACACAATGATAATGGGAGACTTTAACACCCCACTGTCAACATTAGACAGATCAACGAGACAGAAAGTTAACAAGGATAGCCAGGAATTGAACTCAGCTCTGCACCAAGCGGACGTAATAGACATCTACAGAACTCTCCACCCCAAATCAACAGAATATACATTTTTTTCAGCACCACACCACACCTATTCCAAAATTGACCACATAGTTGGAAGTAAAGCTCTCCTCAGCAAATGTAAAAGATCAGACATTATAACAAACTGTCTCTCAGACCACAGTGCAATCAAACTAGAATTCAGGATTAAGAAACTCACTCAAAACCGCTCAACTACATGGAAACTGAACAACCTGCTCCTGAATGACTACTGGGTACATAATGAAATGAAGACAGAAATAAAGATGTTCTTTGAAACCAACGAGAACAAAGACACAACATACCAGAATCTCTGGGACAACATTCAAAGCAGTGTGTAGAGGGAAATTTATAGCACTAAATGCCCACAAGAGAAAGCAGGAAAGATCCAAAATTGACACCCTAACATCACAATTAAAAGAACTAGAAAAGCAAGAGCAAACACATTCAAAAGCTAGCAGAAGGCAAGAAATAACTAAAATCAGAGCAGAACTGAAGGAAATAGAGACACAAAAAACCCTTCAAAAATCTAATGAATCCAGGAGCTGGTTTTTTGAAAGGATCAACAAAATTGATAGACCGCTAGCAAGACTAATAAAAAGAAAAGAGAGAAGAATCAAATAGACGCAATAAAAAATGATAAAGGGGATATCACCACCGATCCCACAGAAATACAAACTACCATCAGAGAATACTACAAACACCTCTACGCAAATAAACTAGAAAATCTAGAAGAAATGGATAAATTCCTCGACACATACACCCTCCCAAGACTAAACCAGGAAGAAGTTGAATCTCTGAATAGACCAATAACAGGCTCTGAAATTGTGGCAATAATCAATAGCTTACCAACCAAAAAGAGTCCAGGACCAGATGGATTCACAGCCGAATTCTACCAGAGGTACAAGGAGGAACAGGTACCATTCCTTCTGAAACTATTCCAATCAATAGAAAAAGAGGGAATCCTCCCTAACTCATTTTATGAGGCCAGCATCATCCTGATACCAAAGCCAGGCAGAGACACAACCAAAAAAGAGAATTTTAGACCAATATCCTTGATGAACATTGATGCAAAAATCCTCAATAAAATACTGGCAAACCGAATCCAGCAGCACATCAAAAAGCTTATCCACCATGATCAAGTGGGCTTCATCCCTGGGATGCAAGGCTGGTTCAATATATGCAAATCAATAAATGTAATCCAGCATATAAACAGAACCAAAGACAAAAACCACATGATTATCTCAATAGATGCAGAAAAGGCCTTTGACAAAATTCAACAACCTTCATGCTAAAAACTCTCAATAAATTAGGTATTGATGGGACATATCTCAAAATAATAAGAGCTATCTATGATAAACCCACAGCCAATATCATACTGAATGGACAAAAACTGGAAGCATTCCCTTTGAAAACTGGCACAAGACAGGGATGCCCTCTCTCACCACTCCTATTCAACATAGTGTTGGAAGTTCTGGCCAGGGCAATTAGGCAGGAGAAGGAAACAAAGGGTATTCAATTAGGAAAAGAGGAAGTCAAATTATCCCTATTTGCAGATGACATGATTGTATATCTAGAAAACCCCACTGTCTCAGCCCAAAATCTCCTTAAGCTGATAAGCAACTTCAGCAAAGTCTCAGGTTACAAAATCAATGTACAAAAATCACAAGCATTCTTATACACCAATAACAGACAAACAGAGAGCCAAATCATGAGTGAAATCCCATTCACAATTGCTTCAAAGAGAATAAAATACCTAGGAATCCAACTTACAAGGGACATGAAGGACCTCTTCAAGGAGAACTACAAACCACTGCTCAATGAAATAAAAGAGGATACAAACAAATGGAAGAACATTCCATGCTCATGGGTAGGAAGAATTAATATCGTGAAAATGGCCATACTGCCTAAGGTAATTTACAGATTCAATGCCATCCCCATCAAGCTACCAATGACTTTCTTCACAGAATTGGAAAAAACTACTTTAAAGTTCATATAGAACCAAAAAAGAGCCCGCATCGCCATGTCAATCCTAAGCCAAAAGAACAAAGCTGGAGGCATCACACTACCTGACTTCAAACTATACTACAAGGCTACAGTAACCAAAACAGCATGGTACTGGTACCAAAACAGAGATATAGATCAATGGAACAGAACAGAGCCCTCAGAAATAACGCCGCATATCTACAACTATCTGATCTTTGACAAACCTGAGAAAAACAAGCAATGGGGAAAGGATTCCCTATTTAATAAATGGTGCTGGGAAAACTGGCTAGCCATATGTAGAAAGCTGAAACTGGATCCCTTCCTTACACCTTATACAAAAATTAATTCAAGATGGATTAAAGACTTAAACGTTAGACCTAAAACCATAAAAACCCTAGAAGAAAACCTAGGCAATACCATTCAGGACATAGGCATGGGCCAGGACTTCATGTCTAAAACACCAAAAGCAATGGCAACAAAAGCCAAAATTGACAAATGGGATCTAATTAAACTAAAGAGCTTCTGCACAGCAAAAGAAACTACCATCAGAGTGAACAGGCAACCTACAAAATGGGAGAAAATTTTCGCAACCTACTCATCTGACAAAGGGCTAATATCCAGAATCTACAATGAACTCAAACAAATTTACAAGAAAAAAACAAACAGCCCCATCAAAAAGTGGGCGAAGGACATGAACAGACACTTCTCAAAAGAAGACATTTATGCAGCCAAAAAACACATGAAAAAATGCTCACCATCACTGGCCATCAGAGAAATGCAAATCAAAACCTCAATGAGATACCATCTCACATCAGTTAGAATGGCAATCATTAAAAAGTCAGGAAACAACAGGTGCTGGAGAGGATGTGGAGAAATAGGAACACTTTTACACTGTTGGTGGGACTGTCAACTAGTTCAACCATTGTGGAAGTCAGTGTGGCGATTCCTTGGGGATCTAGAACTAGAAATACCATTTGACCCAGCCATCCCATTACTGGGTATATACCCAAAGGACTACAAATCATGCTGCTATAAAGACACATGCACACGTATGTTTATTGTGACACTATTCACAATAGCAAAGACTTGGAACCAACCCAAATGTCCAACAATGATAGACTGGATTAAGAAAATGTGGCACATATACACCATGGAATACTATGCAGCCATAAAAAATGATGAGTTCATGTCCTTTATAGGGACATGGATGAAATTGGAAATCATCATTCTCAGTAAACTATCACAAGGACAAAAAACCAAACACTGCATGTTCTCACTCATAGGTGGGAACTGAACAATGAGAACACATGGACACAGGAAGGTGAACATCACACTCTGAGGACTGTTGTGGGGTGGGGGGAGGGGGGAGGGATAGCATTAGGAGATATACCTAATGCTAAATGACGAGTTAATGGGTGCAGCACACCAGCATGGCACATGTATACATATGTAACTAACCTGCACATTGTGCACATGTACCCTAAAACTTAAAGTATAATAATAATAAAATAAAAATACAATTAAAAAATTAAAAAAAGAAAAAAAAGAAAAATAATTATTCTTGCTGCACTTTATACAAATAATCAGGCCAATTACAATAAAGCAAATCAGTCTTTTTTTTTTTTTTTTTTTTTTTTTTTGGAGAAGGAGTCTCGCTCTGTCGCCCAGGCTGGGGTGCAGTGGCGTGGTCTCGGCTCACTGCAACCTCCACCTCCCAGGTTCATGCCATTCTCCTGCCTCAGTCTCCCTTAGTAGCTGGAACTACAGGTGCCCGCCACCACATCCGGCTAATTTTTTGGATTTTTACTGGAGATGGGGTTTCACCGTGTTAGCCAGGATGGTCTCAATCTCATGACCTTGTGATCCGCCCGCCTTGGCCTCTCAAAGTGCTGGGAATACAGGTGTGAGCCACCGTGCCCGGCCCAAGCAAATCAGTCTTACCATGACTTGTCTTTAGTAAAACTTGGAAACTAGAGAGAAAAATTATGTTTCAAGAACTATGGGGCATTTGTCATTAGATTCTAGTCTCATTAGTTGTTTTTAAGTTTGTTTCTTCAATTTAGGCTAACCCTGCTTATTCCTGTGAACCAACTGGTGATCTCTGGCTGCAGCTCAGAAGAAACAAGAGGGATGGGTAATGTAAAAATATGGATAAATATTCTAATTCTGGGCACATTGCAATCAGCTAGTAAACCCATATCAGCTTGGTTCCAGCAGTTGCCCAGTTCATAGAAAGCCTCCTTATTGGCCAGGCACGGTGGCTCACACCTGTAATCCCAGCACTTTGGGAGGCCGAGGCAGGCAGAACACCTCAGGAGTTCGAGACCAGCCTGACCAACATGGAGAAACCCTGTCTCCCCTAAAAATTCAAAATTAGTCGGGTGTGGTGGCACATGCCTGAAATCCCAGCTACTCGAGAGACTGAGGCAGGAGAATCGCTTGAACCCAGGAGGCAGAGGTTGCGGTGAGCCAACATCGCACCACTACACTCCAGCCTGAATAACAAGAGCGAAACTCTGTCTCAAAATACACAGAAAACAGTCAAATTTTTGTTGACTAAGACTTATGAGTAAGTCTACTACATTATTATTTACTCTAAAAACTAGAAATTAACATCCAAAAATGGGGAACAATTAAACAAACTATATATTATACTAAATGTAATAATTAAGAAATACGCAAAATCAAAAAAAGAAGAAATATTGCAAAATAATGCTGTAGAAACATAGGTAAATTTATACCAAAAAATAAGTTTAAAAAAAAGGTAACAAAAATTGTAATGTGTATCAGTTTAAACTATATTAGATACCTACACACGTGGATTAATGACAAAAGAAATTTCAAAAAAATTACTTGAGTTGAGGTTTATGAGGTTTCAAGACTTTTAGCTGTTTATAGTTTCCTCAGAAGATATTTTAAGGTTGATTTTATATAAGATAGCAACACTAAATAATTAAATGGCATATAATTAAACAAAATCATAGATACCACAGGATACTGTCACTCAGATAAAACTGGATACAGGAGGCACCTATAAATTAGTTGTTAATTTCGTCAAAATTTGTGGTATAAAGTGCTACTGAGAAGCTTACACAGAAACAGCTGCAAAATACACACACACACACACACACACACACACACACACACACACACACACACACACAATAATTGCTTACCTGCCACGGGAGGGACAACACCAGCAAAACGTACTGTTGCATGTTCTCCATTAACTTCAACTCTTCGACCAATGACATCCGCTGTCAAAGTGTCACTCATTATAATATATCCAGAATCCAAAATATGAGATCTAGGAAGAAAAATACAACACTGATAAGAACTTAATACAATTCCTTTAAAGGAATTTTTTTTTTTTTTTTTGAGGCACAGTCTTGCTCTGTCGCCCAGGCTGGAGTGCAGTGGCGCAATCTCGGCTCACTGCAACCCCCACCTTCCAGGCTCAAGGGTTCTTGTGCCTCAGCCACCAGAGTAACCGGGTCCACAGATGTGCTTCACCACACCCAGCCAATTTTTGTATTTTCAGTAGAGAAGGGGTTTTGCTACATTGCCCAGGCTGGTCTCCAACTCCTGAGCTCCAGCAATCCACCAACCTCAGTCTCCCAAAGTGGTAAAATTACAGGTGTGAGCCACCGCGCCTGGCCTATAAGAGAAGGTTCAAGTTTGGGAGAGAAGTCAGTATACTTAAAGTGCCTATAGAGGGTGATGACGGATGTGGGTCTCTAGCTCAAACGATACATTTGCGCTAGAAATGTGTTTTTTTTGTTCTTGTTGTTGTTTTTTAAGATGGTGTCTCACTCTGTTGCCCAGGCTGGAGTGCTGTGGCACGATCTCGGCTCACTGCAACCTCCACCTCCCTGGTTCAAGCAATTCCCCTGCCTCAGCCTCCCAAGTAGCTGGGATTACAGCACCCACCACCATGCTGTTTAATTGTTTTGTATTTTTAGTATAGACGGGGTTTCACCATGTTGGCCAGACTGGTCTCAAACTTCTGATCTCAGGTGATCCACCCTCCTCTGCCTCCCAAAGTGCTGGGATTACAGGCATGAGCCACTGCGCCCGGCCTAGAAACATGTTTTTAGGGGTTGTCAGCACAGAGCTTATAACTGATAGCATGAAAGTAGATGAGAATGAAAGGGTATCAGCTAGAAAGAAAAGGGGATCAATGACAGAATCCTGCAAAAACATAATAGTTAAGAAAGAAGAAATCCCTAAGAAGTCGGAGAAAGAAAAAACAGAAAAGAAAAAAGAAGAGCAGCTACCTGATGCCTTGGAATCCAAGGGACAGAGTTTAAAGCAGGAATAATCAAGCAACAGTATCAGATGCTGCAGAGAGAGCCTGTGAGACTAGGGCTTAAAAATCCGTGCCCCTTTTGCAAGCACAAATATGGTTAATTTCCAAACCTTCATCTTTGTCTAAATAAAACTCACTTTCTTTTTTTCTTTTCTTGAGACAGAGTCTCGCTCTGTTGCCCAGGCTGGAGTGCAGTGGCACGATCTCTGCTAACTGCAACCTCTGCCTGCTGGGTTCAAGCAATTCTCCTGCCACAGCCTCCCTAGTAACTGGGATTACAGGCACACGCCACCACGCACACGCCACCATACCCAGCTAATTTTTGAATTTTTAGTAGAGATGGTGTTTCACCATGTTGGCCAGGCTGGTCTTGAACTCCTGACCTCAAGTGATCCACTCACCTCAGTCTCCCAAAATGCTGGAATTACAAGCATCAGCCACCGCGGCCGGCCTAAATAAAACTCACTTTCTGTTTTAAAAAGCTAGCAGTGTTGGCTGGGCACGGTTGCTCATGCCTGTAATCTCAGCGCTTTGGGAGGCCAAGGCAGGCAGATCACCTGAGGCCAGGAATTCGAGACCAGCCTGGGCAACATAGTGAAACTTATCTCTACCAAAAAAAAATACAAAAATTAGCCAGGCATTGTGGCACACGCCTGTAGTCCCAGCTACTTGGGAAGCTGAAGTGGGAGGATCATGTGAGCCCAGAAGACTGAGGCTGCAGTAAGCCAAGATCATGCCACTCTGCTCCAGCCTAGGCAACAGAGCTAGAGCCTGTCTCAAAACAAACAAACAAAAAAACACAAATAAAAGATAACAGTGTTGAAGTACAAGGATTTTTAAACGACAAGTTACATAACTATTGAACAAAGTATTTTTCTATTTTAATATTATCATATATAATATGTGTACAAAACAAAAGAAAAAACATATGCTGTTACATGCCATCTGGGGTTAGAATACATTACTGACTACCCACAAACTCCATTGGTATATAGATATCTGAGGCCTTTGTTATTATTACCTCTCCACCTTTATGGGTTTTTTTTATTTTAAGAACAGGTAGATGGAAGGGGAGTGGTGGCTCATGTCTGTAATCCCAGCACTTTGAGAGGCCGAGGCGGGTG
Source organism: Homo sapiens (assembly GCF_000001405.40). Lineage (NCBI taxonomy): Eukaryota > Metazoa > Chordata > Mammalia > Primates > Hominidae > Homo > Homo sapiens. Next base: position 235,377,892 of record NC_000001.11, on the reverse strand, counting down.
GATCACAAGGTCAGGAGTTCGAGACCAGCCTGACCACCATGGTGAAACCCCGTCTCTACTAAAAATACAAAAACTAGCCAGGCGTGGTGGCGCGATGCCTGTAATCCCAGCTACTCAGGAGGCTGAGGCAGGAGAATCGCTTGAACCCGGGAGGCAGAGGTTGCAATGAGCCGAGATCGAGCCATTGTACTTCTGCCTGGGTGACAGAGCAAGACCCCATCTCAAAAAAAAAAAAAGAATAGGTAGACATTTCCTCTGTTACTGGAGTTGTCTGTTACATTAGACCTGCTATTTCCATATTACAGAATAATCTAAGCATTTCAATCTCACATTATATGATTTTAAGTTTATTAAGTTTCTGCATAAGGTCCTCTCAATCAGCTCCTCAAATATTTTGTAAAAACAATAACATTAGGCTGGGCGCGGTGGCTCACGCCTGCAATCCCAGCATTTTGGGAGGCCAAGGCAGGCAGATCACAAGGTCAAGAGATCGATACCATCCCAGCCAACAGGGTAAAACCCTGTCTCTACTAAAAATACAAAAAAATTAGTTGGGCATGTAGTGCGCGCCTGTAGTCCCAGCTACTTGGCCATCTGAGGCAGGAGAATCACTTGAATGCGGGAGGCAGAGGTTGCAGTGAGCCAAGATCGTGCCACTGCACTCCAGCCTGGCGACAGAGCAAAATTCCATCTCACAAAAAACAAAACAAAAAAAATCATTTTTCCCAATTGTTGTGAAAAGAATCCTACTTTCAAAATGGAGCTGAATTTTGTCTATTTAAATAAAGGAGGACAGGGCCATTGGGAAGGGGGCCAGGATCCAGATCTAAACATGCCCAGTAGTGTTGAAAAGCAAAAGAGAAATAATCTCCGAGCCCAAAGTTGGTGAGAAAAGTCAAAGCAGTTTAGATGATTTTTTTTTTTTAATTGAGACGGAGTCTCACTCTGTCGCTCAGGCTGGTGCAATCTCAGCTCACTGCAACCTCCATCTCCCGGGTTCAAGCGATTCTTCCGCCTCACCCTCCTGAGTAACTGGGATTACAGGCGGCCGCCACCAGGCCCAGCTAATTTTTGTATTTTTAGTAGAGACGGGATTTCACCATGTGGGCCAGGCTGGTCTCAAACTCCTGACCTCAAGTGATCTTCCCACCTCGGCCTCCAAGTGCTGGGATTACAGGTGTGAGCCACTGTGCCGGCCAGTTTAGATGATGTGATGGCAGGATCAACATACGGGTCAGACCAGGCATGGGGAATTTATGTTTTAGTAAGCTAAGAGGTCTGGCCAGAGACACAGCACTACCCAAAAACCTGTGCTCAGATTCAGAGCTCTAGTCCCTAAGAAGAGGGACGAATAAAATGACTGCAGAACTCCACTCCTACAAGAAATTAAAGTACTAGGCCAAATCTTGGCTCCATGAACTAGACTGTATAGGGATTATCTAAATCCAGAAACTCACAAGGCCCCATAATCAGTCTGAGGCTCTTTCCAGCTGGGGCTCAGCTTAAGGGTACTACTACATCACCCTGCAGATCAGGCTAACAGTGAGAATGGCTTGGTGAGAAGAAGGGGGCAGCCATCAATGGGAAGTAAAACCAGAGAGTGTAATAGCAGGAATGAGGATTGAAGACACTAGGAAGCCATTCTCATTATTAATCTAACATCTGTAGGTAACTCATGAATTCCTTCACATGCTTGATCCTACTTAATCTCCAGTAACAATTTTTTTTTTCCATTCCTACCTGTATGCTGTGCCCACAGACATGACCAATGAGATCATTAGGTATAAGGTCTAAGGTCAGTAATTAACAGTCTCTGTGTCAAGTCAGGTGTTTTTGTTTGTTTGTTTTGAGAAGAGTCTCGCTCTGTTACCCAGGTTGGAGTGCAATGGCGTGATCTCAGCTCTGCAACCTCCACCGCCCGGGTTCAAGCGATTCTCCTGCCTCAGCCTCCAGAGTAGCTGGGATTATAGGCATGTGCCACCAAGCCCGGCTAATTTTGTATTTTTTTTTTCAATAGAGATGGGGTTTCACCTTATTGGTCAGGCTGGTCTCGAACTCCTGACCTCAGGTGATTCACCCATCTCGGCCTCCCAAAGTGCTGGGATTACAGGTGTGAACCTCTGCGCCCAGCCTCAAGTCAGTATTTTTGATGATCCTGTCTAGTCTCTGAACGTTTCTAATAATGTCTTTCTTGATACCATGATCTTCCGTGAAGACCTAGAAACTGGATCCATGTCTTGGTGACCTATGCCTTAGTTCCAAAGCCTTTACCCTCTTCTTCTAGCTAGTAACCAGTGGGTCCCTGTTTCCTGATGTTAGACCTACTTGATGCTGTTACTGGCCCACTCTGCACCCTTATTGCCTGTTGCTAGGACAACCACTTTGATCACTCCCCCACCCCCAGCCCCATTTTAGTATCCAGTCAAAATGACCTGCAGTCAGCTGCTGCCTAGTTAAGTTCTCTGTAATGGCCTGCACTGGGCCCTCTCCTAATCACCTGAATGTGAGTGGCATGTTGCTCTTAGTTAGGTCTATCTGGGTGCTGACTAAGGCTTGGTTCAGATGGAATGACTTTTTAAAATACACACACTTGCTAACTAATGAAGATAGCCCACTTAAATGTTGGAGTGACTCTTGTTATTCTTCTTTAAAAAGATGAAATCTACATCTCTAGGCCAGGCACAGTGGCTCATGCCTGTAATCCCAGCACTTTGGGAGGACAAGGCAGGCGGATCATGAGGTCAGGAGATTGAGACCATCCTGGCTAACACAGCAAAACCCCATCTCTACTAAAAATACAAAAAATTAGCCGGGCGTGGTGGTGGGCGCCTGTAGTCCCAGCTACTCGGGAGGCTGAGGCAGGAGAATGGTGTGAACCCAGGAGGCGGAGCTTGCAGTGAGCCGAGATCGCACCACTGCACTCCAGCCTGGGCAACAGAGTGAGACTCCATCTCAAAAAAAAAAAAAAAAAAGAAAAAAAAAGAAATCTACATCTCTATCATTTTCACCTAGTAATTTTCTACTACTGCCCTATGTAGCTACAGAGAATCAATATATTCCCTTTCCCAGACAACATTTAAATGTGGAAGGCCAGCTGGGCACAGTAGCTCACACCTGTAATCCCAGCACTTCGGGAGGACAAGGTGGGTGACTCACCTGAGGTCAGGAGTTCGAGACCAGCCTGGCCAACATGGTGAAACCCCGTCTCTACTAAAAATACAAAAATTAGCCAGGTGTGGTGGCGGATACCTGTAATCCCAGCTCCTAGGGAGGCTGAGGCAGGAGAATCACTTGAATCCAGGAGGCGGAGGTTGCAGTGAGCCCAGATTGCACCACTGCACTTCAGCCTGGGCGACAGAGGGAGATTCAGTCTCAAAAAATAAATAAATAAATATGGAAGGCCATTTGTTACCATTTCTGCTTTCCCTGCTTCCTGTCTTCATCTCCCAAACCTCTCTACCAGGGTAAACATTTCCAGCTCCTTAAACCCTCCTTATAGCATTCCAGTTTTCCTCTGTAACTGATTTACTGATTCCATGCTTAAATTGCGATATCTAGAACTGAACGCCACATTCCAGATGTGGCCTGACCTGCACGTGGGGTACAATGGTCTGAAAAGCATTCATTTAACAGTGTAGGCTAGGCAAAGTGGCTCACGCCTGTAATCCCAGTACTTTGGGAGGCCGAGGAGGGTGGATTATCTGAGGTCAGGAGTTCGAGGCCAGCCTGGCCAACATGGTGAAACCTGTCTCTACTAAAAATACAAAAATTAGCCAGGCATGGTGGCAAGCACCCGTAATCCCAGCTACTCTGGAGGCTTGAACCCAAGAGGCGGAGGCTGCAGTCAGCCAAGGTATGCCATTGCATTCCAGCCTGGGCAACAAAGAAAGACTCAGTCTCAAAAAAATAAATAAAATTTTAAAATTTAAAAAATAAAAATACAAGTCTGGGTGCGGTGGCTCACGTCTGTAATCCCAGCACTTTGGGAGGCCGAGGCGGGAGGATCACGAGGTCAGGAGATCGAGACCATCCTGGCTAACACGGTGAAACACCGTCTCTACTAAAAATACAAAAAAATTAGCCAGGCGTGGTGGCGGGCGCTTGTAGTCCCAGCTACTCGGGAGGCTGAGGCAGGAGAATGGCGTGAACCCGGGAGGCGGAGCTTGCAGTGAGCCGAGATCGCGCCACCGCACTTCAGCCTGGGCGACAGAGCGAGACTCCGTCTCAAAAATAAAATAAAATAAAATAAAAATAAAAATAAATAAAAATAAAAATACAAAAATTAGCCGGGCATGGTGGTGAGTGCCTGTAATCCCACCTACTTGGGAGACTGAGGCACAAGAATTGCTTGAACCCTGGAGGCGGAGGTTGCAGTGAGCCAAGATCGTGCCATTGCACTCCAGACTGGGCCACAGAGTGAGACTGCGTCTCAAAGAAAAAAAAAAATGTAGACGTTACATTCTTTTTTTTCTGTCCCTTTCATGGGAAAGACTGTTGCTTACTATTAAGGTTGCAATGAAAGAAATTCCAAAGCCATTTCTGATTTACTACCATCTTCCGATCATAAAATTTAAATGTTTAAATTTTACTACAATTGTATTACCCTAAAAATGAGTTTTTTACTAGTTTTAAGTGCCCTTTCAAAATTTTCATTAACATGTAAGCAGAATTTTACTACCACTGAGACATATAATTTGTTCTACTTCTTTTATTAACTTCCTTTAAAATAAAGTAGGGCCTCACTATGTTATCCAGGCTGGTCTTTAACTCCTGGGCTCAAGCAATCCTCCTGAGGATTCCCAAAGTGCTGGGATTACAGGTTTGAGCTACCTCAACTGGCCATATTAACATTTGTCCATAAACATTTTTCTATACAGCCACAGAGTCAACACATTAATCATCTCAATATCCAAGTATGATACCACAATTTACTTAATAATTTCTCTCTTTTTTTTTTTTTTTTTTTTTTTAGACGGAGTCTCACTCTGTCGCCCAGGCTGGAGTGCAGTGGTGCAATCTCAGCTCACTGCAAGCTCCGCCTCCCGGGTTCACGCCATTCTCCTGCCTCAGCCTCCCCAGTAGCTGGGACTACAGGCACCCACCACCACGCCCGGCTAATTTTTTGTATTTTTAGTAGAGACGTGGTTTCACCATGTTAGCCAGGATGGTCTCGATCTCCTGACCTCGAGATCCGCCCGCCTCGGCCTCCCAAAGTGCTGGAATTACAGACGTGAGCCACCGTGCCCAGCCTCTCTCTCTCTCTCTTTTCTATTGGTAGAGAAGGGATCTCTCTATGCTGCCCAGGTTGGTCTCAAACTGCTGGCCTCAAGAGATTCTCCCGTCTCAGCCTTCCAAAGTGCTAGGATTATAGGTGTGAACCACTGCACCCAGCCAATCATTTCTCTAATGCTGTTTATTTACAACTCCAAAGAAAACAGCTAAAAACAGCTTTGATTTTTAAAATATTACCTTATGAAGTATTTCCTTGGGAAAAATTCTTAAGATAGATAAATATGTTTAAGGTTCTACAAAGCCAGCCAGGAGCGGTGGCTCACGCCTGTAATCCCAACACTTTGGGAGGCCAAGGCAGGAGGATCATCTGAAGTCAGGAGTTCCAGAGCAGCCTTGCCACTATGGTGAAATCCCGTTGCAACTAAAAATACAAAAATTAGCCTGGCGAGGTGGAGTGCGTCTGTAATCCCAGCTAAATATGCACAGCAAAATTAAAAATTAAAATATAAAAATCAGCTGGGTGTGGTGGTGCACGCCTATAGGCCAATGTATTTGGGAGGCTTAGGTTGGAGGATGACCTGAGCCCAGGAGTTCGAGGCTGCAGTGAGCCCTGATCACACCACTGTACTCCAGCCTGGGCAACAGAGGGAGACCCTATTGTACAAAAAAATGAAAAAATGAAAAAAAGGGCAGGCACAGTGGCTCATGCCTGTAATCCCAGCACTTCGGGAGGCCAAGGCAGGCAGATCACCTGAGGTCAGGAGTTCGAGACCAGCCCGGCCAACATGGTGAAACCCCCACCTCTACTAAAAAAACAAAAATTAGCTGGGTATGCTGGCGGGTCCCTGTAATCCCAGCTACTTGGGAGGCTGAGGCAGGAGAATCACTTGAATCCGGGAAGTGGAGGTTGTAGTGAGCCGAGATCGTGCCATTGCACTCCAGCCTGGGTGACAAGAGCAAAACTCTGTCTCAGAAAAAAAGGTGGGGCCGGGTGCTGTAGCTCACGCCTGTAATCCTAACACTTTGGGAGGCAGAGGTGGGTGGATCAACTGAGGTTGGGAGTTTGAGACAAGCCTAACCAATATGATGAAACCCCATCTCTAATAAAAATACAAAAATTAGCCAGGCTATGGTGGCACACGCGTATAATCCCAGCTACTCAGAGGCTGAGGTGGGAGAATCACTTGAACCCGGGAGGTAGAGCTTGCAGTGAGCCAAGATCGTGTCAGTGCACTACAGCCTGGGTGACAGAGGGAGACCCTGTCTCAAAAAAAAAAAAAAAGGGAAAAAAAAAAAGACAAGAGTGGCCGGGGGCGGTGGCTCACGCCTGTAATCCCAGCAGTTTGAGAGGCTGAGGCAGGTGGATCATTTGAGGTCAGAAGTTCAAGACCAGCCTGACCAACATGGAGAAACCCCATCTCTACTAAAAATACAAAATTAGTCAGGTATGGTGGCGCATGCCTGTAATCCCAGCTACTGAGGAGGCTGAGGTGGCAGAATTGCTTGAAGCCAGGAGGCGGAGGTTGCGGTGAGCCAAGATCATGCAATTGCACTCTAGCCTGGGCAGCAAGAGCAACCACTCTGTCTCAAAAAAAAAAAAAAAAAAAAAAAAAAAAAAAAAAGCCAGGCGTGATAGCTCACACCTGTAATCCCAGCACTTTGGGAAGCTGAGGCGGGCGGATCATGAGGTCAGGAGTTCAAGACCAACCTGACCAACATGGTGAAACCCCATTTCTACTAAAAATACAAAAAAGAGCTGGGCGTGGTGGCGTGCGCCTGTAATCCCAGCTACTCAGGAGACTGAGGCAGGAGAATCGCTTGAACCCGGGAGGCGGAGGTTGCAGTGAGCCGACATCACACAATTGCACTCCAGCCTGAGCGACAGAGCAAGACTCCATCTCAAAAAAAAAAAAAAGAAAAGACAAGGAGGAAAAAAGCATAAAAATATGAAGTGTAGAAGATGGTGCAAAAACCCCAAATTCATTCAATCAACAATTATATTATGGAGTGTCTGCTAAAAGCCAGATACTATTTTAGGCAATTGGAATAAAACAGTAATGGATTTTACAGGGAAGTACAATAAGAGATCTTCCCAAAAAAAAAAAAAAAATGCCGGGTGCAGTGGCTCACGCCTGTAATCCCAGCACTTTGGGAGGCTGAGGCGGGTGAATCACAAGGTCAGCAGTTCAAGACCAACCTGGCCAAGATGGTGAAACCCCATCTCTACTAAAAATACAAAAATTAGCCAGGCATGGTGGCATGCGCCTGTAATCACAGCTAGTTGGGAGGCTGAGGCAGAGAATTGCTTGAACCCAGGAGGCAGAGGTTGCAGTGAGCCGAGAACGTACCACTGCACTCCAGCCTGGGCAACAGAGCAAGAATCCGTCTCAGAAAAAAAAAAAAAAAAAGAATACAGCAGTAAACAAAACAGAAAAATACCTGCCCTCATAAACCTTCTATGCCAGTGAGAGAAAACATAATAAACCAGATAAATGACTCTATCACATGGCATGTCATATGATGATAAGCACAAGGATAACGAGTGCAATGGAAATGTTAAAGATGGCAGTGGCTTGTCAGAGAAGGCCTTACTGAGAAGGTAAAGGTCCCCAAAATATGAGAGAGGTAAAGAACTGAGCCATGTGGACATATGAGGGAAAGGAATAGCAAGTGCAAATATCCTGAGGCTAGGATGCGCTTGAGGAGACCATACAGTAGAGCAAACAGGAGATGAGAACGACATGAGATCAGCAGTGAAGCAGGGCTAGGTCACATAGGACCTTCGATGAATAATCCACTCTGAAGACTTCGGCTTTTTTTTTTTTTTTGAGACAGAGTTTTGCCCTTGTTGCCCAGACTGGAGTGCAATGGCACAATCTCGGCTCACTGCAACCTCCGCGCCTGCCCCCAGGTTCAAGCAATTCTCCTGCCTCAGCCTCCCTAATAGCTGGGATTGCAGACACACACCACCACACCTGGGTAATTTTTTGTGTTTTTTTTTAGTAGAGACGGGGTTTCGCCACTTTGGCCAGGCTGGTCTTGAACACTTGACCTCAGGTGATCCACCAGTCTTGGCCTCCCAAAGTGCCAGGATTACAGGCTTGAGCCACTGCGCCCAGCCAGTTTTTGTTTTTTTTGTTTTTGTTGTTTTTTTTGAGACAGAGTCTTGCTCTATCGCCAGGCTGGAGTGCAGTGGCACGATCTCGGCTCACTGCATCCTCTGTCTCCCGGGTTCAAGCGATTCTTCTGCCTCAGCCTCCTGAGTAGCTGAGATTACAGGCACGCACCACCACGCCCGGCTAATTTTTGTATTTTTAGTAGAGACGGGGTTTCACCATGTTGGCCAGGATGGTCTCGACCTCTTGACCTCGTGATCCACCCACCTCGGCCTCCCAAAGTGCTGGGATTACAGGCATGAGCCACCACGCCCGGCCGACTTTGGCTTTCACTCCAGGTGAAATGTGTAGTCCTTGGAGGATTTTTGAGAGGAAAGACATAAATCTGATTTTTTTTTAAAGGATCAACCGAGATACTGTGATGCAAACAGACTAAAAGAGGAAAGAGCAGAAACTACTGCAGTAATTCAAGTACGAGACAACGTAACTTGAACAAGTGAAGGTGATAACAAGAGCCTGGGAGTGTGGACAGATTTTAAAGGTGGAGAGTCCATAGGATTTGCTGATATATATGGAAGAGATTAATCAGGGATGATACCAAAGATTTTCATCTAGACAAATATTTCAGTAGTGACAATGAATGTAAATCCAATAAACCTGCTAGTCAAAAGGCAGACTGGGCTGGGCACGGTGGCTCACACCTGTAGCCCCAGCACTTTGGGAGGCTGAAGCAGGTGGATCACCTGAAGTCAGGCCTTCAAAACCAGTCTGGCCAACATGGCGAAACCCCATCTCTACTACAAATACAAAAAAAAAAAAATTAGCTGGGCATGGTGGCACACACCTGTCATCCCAACTACTCGGGAGGCTGAGGTGGGAGATATGCTTGAACCTGGGAGGCGTGGTTGCAGTGAGCTGAGATTGGGCCACTGCACACCAGCCTTGGGCGACAGAGCAAGACTCCATATCAAAAAAAAAAAAAAAAAAAAAAAGCAGGCTGTCCACTTAGATTAAAAAAAAAACCCAGAGATATGCTGTTTACAACAGTATATAAAATATGAGCATACAGAAAAGTTAAAACTTAAGAATATGAAAAACGTTTGAAGCAAGTATCAAAACACAGCGGCCGTGGCTAAATTAATGCCAGAGAAAAGAAAAGTCTTCTCTCTTCATCTCTACCTCCACTAACTTTCTCTAACAGTTTGGCAATTTGTTAACCCCGTCTTCCTGCCAGGACTGCTTCTCTGAGGATAAGGCTGTCACACCATCATTTGGATCCACCCACAACTTAGAACAGTCCCCATTTGGTAGTAAACACCAAGTAAAAATAGTTACTTTAGGCCGGGCGCGGTGGCTCACGCCTGTAATCCCAGCAGTTTGGGAGGCCGAGGCGGGTGGATCATCTGAGATCAGGAGTTCGAGAGCAGCCTGGCCAACATGGAGAAACCCTGTCTCTACTAAAAATACAAAAATTAGCCGAGCGTGGTGGCACGCGCCTGTAATCCCAGCTACTCGGGAGGCTGAGGCAGCAGAATCGCTTGAACCCAGGAGGCGGAGGTTGCAGTAAGCCGAGATCAGAGATCCGCGCCACTGCAGTCCAGCCTGGGCGACAGAGCAAGACTGTCTCAAAAGAACAAACAGTTACTTTAAGTGCTCTCCACCTATTTAACGTTATTTCTCTGTCATCACCAATGTTAACTGATTCGGAAGGACGAGGCTGTTCCTCTAAGGTGACACCTTGTAAAAGTCGTTGGTCGCCTGTACCATTTTCACCTCTTCCAAAGTGACATGCCAATTCTCTGAGAGAAGCTTAAAATGCTAGAGATCACGTGCGGCTACTCCTAAATAAGGCCTTCCAGGAGGCGCAGGGTGGCCCCAACCCAGCCGGCTGGACCGCCTCCCAGCGCACGGAGCAGGCAACGCCCGGCTCTGGCAATCTGGGAAGATTCCAGGAAAGGAAGAAAAGGCCAAGAGCACTGCAGGGTGACGCACCGGCCAGGAATGCTCGTTCCGAAAGCTCCCCGAACCTCTGAAGCTCACCTGCCCGCGGAGACTCCAGGTGTTCCCAGCAGCAGCCCCTCCAGCCAACTGCCCAGCAGCGAAGCTTGAGGCTCTGGCCGGAAGTGCTGTAGGAAGTCCCGCCTCCACCGGAGTGAGGTACGGCTGCTGGAGCATAGACGAGAATGTCAGCGACAGTATTGGAGGCCAGAGGAGTGGTCAGCCCACCCAAGCCCCGCCTCTGGGCGGGGGCCCAAGCGATTTCCGAGTGCTGAAACCTGGGATGACAGAGCAGCCCAGGGAAAGCGCGTGTTCCAGTTTACTAGATACCACAGAAGTGAGTTACAAATCCTGTAAGAGGTTCAGTTCCATGCGTATTGAGAGTCTACCACGTAGGCAGCATGCGGTGGTCAAAGAGAAGAATATAGTGTTGATACCGCCAAAACTAAAAAAAAAAAAAAAATTACCTAGTTAAAGCATAAGGCAGAATGAAAGTAAATGCAGTGATAGAAAAAATAATAGAAAAAGCAACTATCCTAGACATGTTAATTTCTGTTGAAACCGCCTTTGCAAAATTTTGACAGTAAGAGAAATCTGACATGGTTTACTCCTATCTTGATTCTAGCCTCACAGACTGGCTGTCTTTGCTCATTCCTGGGCACAGGACAAACTAACTTTGGGAGAAATTTAGTTTATAGTTTAAATGATAATAACCCTTCCCCAAAACTGCCCTTTTAAAACTAAATGAAAGGCCACCAAGTTAGGAGAATGAGAGGGTCCTGAATTCTTCTAAGTTGTAATTGTAGTTAAATGATTACCACCCATTATTCCACAGGTCACAAATTCGCATCTTCCCCAATCATTCCTGCAGATAACATCACTGTTGTAGAACCTAAGATTGGCCTTTTGAGATGTCTTTTCAGGTTTTTGCATTTCTGACAAGTGGATGGCCCCACCCTGACTCATCAACCTGGGGATCCACGAACCAACTCAGTGCAAGAGGACAGCTTCTACTTCTTATGATTTCACCTCTGACCCAACCAGTCAGCACTCCCCATTCCCTGGCCCCGTACCTGTCAAACTATCTGAAAAACCCCCTAACCTCTGAGCCTTTGGTGAGATGGATTTGAGTAACAACTCTGTCTCCCACGTGGCATGGCCAGCCTCGCGTCAATTAAACTTTCTTTACTGCAATGCCATGGTTTCTGTCAATTAATTTTGTTTGTGCAGCAGGCAGAAAGAACCCATTGGTGGATACCACAGACTCCACAACAAGAGCAGTTTGGGTAGAGTGAGTGTTAGCATTCCAAAACCAGACTGAAGTGAGGTGAAGTGGAAAGGAAATTGAGGGAGCAAAGCCAAATGACTCTTCCAAGAAGTGACCTTCTAATTGTCATATTAAATGGACACAAACAGTCAGTATCCTGCTGGATGTCTCTACTGTTTTATACTTTGATAGTTCACTCCTTGAAACTAGAAACTAGATATTACAGTGATTGTTTTTTCTTTGGAAGAGGGGATTAAAAACCACATTGGAAATCTGATAAAAGCTATCTACCTACACACAAATTTTGCGTATGATTTCAAGGACTGATTAATCCTTTGAAGCCCATGAATAGGCCTCAAAGGAATCCATGGATCCCAAACTAAGACTCTCCTCAGCAGGGCACGGTGGCTCACACCTATAATCCCAGCATTTTGGGAGGCCGAGGCAAGCAGATCACTTGAGCTCAAGAGTTCAAAACTAGCCTGGGCAATGTGGCGAAACCCTGTCTCTAAAAAAACACAAAAATTAGCCAGGCGTGGTGGTAGGTGCCTGTAGTCCCAGCTACTCAGGACGTTGAGTTGGGAGAATCTCTTGAGCAGGGGAGACAGAGGTTGCAGTGAGCTGAGATCTCAACACTGCACTCCAACCTGGGCAATAGAGTGAGACCCTGTTTCAAAAAAGAAAAAAAGGCCAGGCGTGGTGGCTCATGCCTGTAATCCGAGTACTTTGGGAAGCTGAGGCGGGTGGATCACAAGGTCAAGAAATTGAGACCATCCTGGCCAACAGGGTGAAGCCCTGTCTCTACTAAAAATACAAAAATTAGCTGGGCATGGTGCTGTGTGCCTGTAATCACAGCTACTTGGGAGGCTAAGGCAGGAGAATCATTTGAACCTGGGAGGCGGAGGTTGCAGTGAGCCGAGATCGCGCCATGCACTCCAGCCTGGTGACACAACTAGACTACGTCTCAAAAAAAAAAAATTAGCTGGGTGGGGTGTGGTGGCACATGCCTGTAAAACCAGCTACTCAAGAGGCTAAGGCAGAAATTGCTTGAACCTAGGAGGCAGAGGCTACAGTAAGCCGAGATCGTGCTGCTTCACTCCAGCCTGGGGGACGGAGCAAGACTCCATCTGAAAATGAATACATAAATAAAGCCCTCACTTTTCCATTAGTTGGTGAGAAAAGAAAAAATAGGCCAGGCGCGGTGGCTGATGCCTGTAATCCCAACACTTTGGGAGGCCGAGGCGGGCGGATCACCAGGTCAGGAGTTCAAGACCAGCTTGGCCAATATGGTGAAACCTCGTCTCTACTAAAAATACAAAAATTAGCCAGGCATGGTGGTGCGTGCCTGTAGTCCCAACTACTTGGGAGGGTGAGCCGGGAGAATTGCTTGAACCTAGGAGGTGGAGGTTGCAGTGAGACCAGATATCACCACTACACTCCAGCCTGGGCTACAGAGTGAGACTCTATCTCAAAAAATAAAATAAAATAAAACAATGTGTAGCCAATCAATAACTTATTTTATTTTAATGTAAATTATTATTGGTAAACAACTTAGGAACTACCTCTTCTTTTTTCCTTTAAAAACCCACTTGTAGAGGCTGGGTACAGTGGCTCACGCCTGTAATCCCAGCACTTTGGAAGGCCGAGGTGGGCAGATCATGAGGTCAGGAGTTTGAGACCAGCCTGACCAACATGGTTAAATCCCGTCTTTACTAAAAATACAAAACTTAGCCGAGTGTGGTGGCATGCCCTTGTAATCCGAGCTACTTGGGAGGCTGAGGCAGGAGAATTGCTGGTACCTGGGAGGCGGAGGTTGCAGTGAGCTGAGATTACACCACTGCACTGCAGCCTAGGCAACAGAGCGAGACTCCGTCTCATAAATAAATAAATAAATAAATAAATAAATAAATAAATAAATAAAACAAAACCCATTTGCAGGCTATGCGTTGTGGCTCATGCCTTTACTCCCAGCACTTTGGGAGGCAGGGGTGGGTGGATCACTTGAGGTCAGGAGTTCAAGACCAGCCTGGCCAGCATGGTGAAACTCCATCTGTACTAAAAAAAAATACAAAAAAGAGCCGGGCATCGTGGCATGCACATTTAGTCCCAGCTACTGGGGAGGCTGAGGCAGGAGAATTGCTTGAACCTGGGAGGCAGGTGTTGCAGTGACCTGAGCTGAGATCAAGCCACTGCACTCCAGCCTGAGCAAAAAAGCAAGACTCTGTCTCTAAAAAATAAAATACAATAAAAAGTTTAAAAAGCACTGACTTAAGAATTGCACAGGGAGGCCAATTTGAGCTGGCCTCCTGTCTCTTTGTTGGCTGACTCACAATAAAGCTTTTTTTTTTTTCTTCTCAAAAACCTAGTGCCATAGCATTTGACTTCTGTACCACCGGGCAGTGAGCTCCTTTTGCTTGGTAACAGTCACTGGTATCTTTAACTCTTGGGGGGCATGATTTCATAAATATCCATGAGCCCATTCAATCCAGAATATATTTAAGAACCCTCAAAACTGAACAATAAGAAAAAGAAAACCCCAATAGAAAAATGGACAAAAAGATTTGAGTGAAGGCCAGGAATAGTGGCTCATGATGTAATCCCAGCACTTTGTGAGGCCAAGGCGGGTGGATCACTTGAGCCAGGAGGTTGAGACCAGCCTGGCCAACGTAGTGAAACCCATCTCTACTAAAAATACAAAAATTAGCTGGGTGTGGTGGCATGGACCTGTAATCCCAGCTACTCAGGAGGCTGAGGTGGGAGGATTGCTTGAACCCAGGAGGCAGAGGCTGCAGTGAGCCGAGATCGCACCACTGCAATCCAGCTGGGGCAACAGAGCCAGACCTTGTCTCAAAAAAAATTTTTTTGACTCAAAATTTCACCAAAAGGCCAGGCACGGTGGCTCATGCCTGTAATCTCCACACTTCGGGAGGTTCACTTGAGCCCAGGAGTTGGAGACCAGCCTGGGCAACATAGAGACCCCTTCTCTAGAAAAAAAATATATATTTTTTATATTTTTATATTTTATATTATAAAAATATATATTTATATATATTCTCTACAAAAATATATATAAATATATATAAATATATATATTCTCTACAAAAAAAATATACAAAAAATATAAATAAAAAAATTAGCCAGTTGCTCCTACCTGTGCCTGTCATCCCAGCTCCAGGCATGTAGGCTGAGGTGGGAGGATCGCTTGAGCCCAGGAGTTCACGGTTGCAGTGAGCCATGATCACACTACTGCTCTCCAGCCTTCCAGCCTGGGTGACAGAGCAAGACCTTGTCTCAATAAAAAATAAGATAAAAAACACCACATAGGCTGGGCATGGTGGCTCACGCCTGTAATCCCAGCACTTTGGAGGCTGAGGTGGGTGGATCACCTGAGGTCAGGAGTTCAAGACCAGCCTGATCAACATGGAGAAACCCTGTCTCTACTAAAAATACAAAGTTAGCCAGGTGTGGTGGCACATGCCTGTAATCCTAGCTACTTGGGAGGCTGAGGCAGCAGAATCGCTTGAACCCAGGAGGCGGAGATTGCAGTGGGCCAAGATCGCGCCATTGCACTCCAGCCTGGGCAACAAGAGCGAAACCATCTCAAAAAAACAACAACAACAACAAAAACCACCACATAAACAGAAAGCCCCTCTTGTGCCACTCTCTGTCGCCCCTTCATAACCCCCTTCCAGGCTCACCCTCCCGTACCCACTCACCTGGCTGACTGACTGGCATGGCTGGAAAGGACTACCACCACCTTAGGAGGAGTTGGAGGCTGTAGGCTGGGGGCACTGGACTCTTAGTGGTCTCATACTCCTCAGCAAGCTCCTGTTTGATCTGTCTGGTGCTTAGGGGTAACCCTGAGGCAGGGGCCACAGGTGGTGGTGGCAGAGATGACACCTGAGGGCTCACAAGTGACAGGTCCCACAGTGGGCAAGACTGGTTTGACCCGATGGGGTCCCCTTCAGATGGAGAGAGGCACCCTGGCTTGTATCTGTGTGGCCTGTCTTCTAGTCCCTGGGGATGCAGCTTTCTCTCCCTATGGCGTGGGCCCAGGCGAGTAGGCTGTTTTGTAGTCTGCTGGTGAGGAAGCCACAATAGCAATGGCAGTGGAAAGGGCAGCCAAGGAGGTGGTGACCGTAGGCACCAGCAGGAAGAGGTAGGGGCCCTGGGAGGTGTGTGAAAGTGGGTAGGACCCTTGAGAGGAGGAAAAAAAGAGAAGAAGAGACCGTGGGAGGTAGGGGGCAATTGGGGCCTGCTTGGCTGTAGGACATCTGGCTGTGAGATGGGGCCAGGTATGCTGGCCCTGATGGATAGAGCCAAAGAGACCCCAGGGAGGAACACATGGCATAAGAGTGTGCATTGGCCGGGCGCTGTGGCTCACGCCTGTAATCCCAGCACTTTGGTAGGCCGAGGCAGGTGGATCACCTGAGGTCAGGAGTTCATGACCAGCCTGGCCAACATGGTGAAACCCTGTCTTTACTAAAAATACAAAAATTAGCCACTTATGGTGGTGAGCGCCTGTAATCCCAGGAACTTGGGAGGCTGAGGCAGAAGAATCACTTGAACCTAGGAGGCAGAGGTTGCAGTGAGCCAAGATAGTGCCACTACTGCACTCCAACCTGGGTGACAAAAGTGAAACTCCGTCTCAAAAAAAAAAAAAAAAAAAAGAGTGTGCATGGTATGGGGCTATGTGGCTACAGCTCTCCAGGTGGTGGGGAAATGCTCCAGGTGGAGGGGGCCTGGAGCTTCCACAGTGTTGCTGCTGGTGGTGATGGTGATGTGTTGGGGGTGATGTGGGCAGTGGATTGGCCTCCAGGAGAAGGAGGAAGCCTAAGAGGCCGCCACAGGAGGTTGTGGGGGACCCTGGCTCTACACAGCCTGGGCTGGAAGAGAAGATTGAGTATACTTGGGGGCCTGATTGGGGACAGAGAGGCTTGTTGCAAGAGGGAAGGAGTGGGGATACCTGGGCAATGCCTGGGAAGCAGGGTACTGGGAGGCAGAGGAGGAGGAGGAAGAACTGGAAGAGGAGGCTGCCGCAGAGCTGCTACTAGAGCATGAGTAAAGAAACCTCAGTGGGGCGGAAGAAGAGGAAGCAGGGAGCCGGGGCAGAGGGTGGGCTGTGGGAGCTAGAGTCAAGTCGTTCTCTGGGCCAGGAGGAAACCCTCCCATTCCCTGCCCCGTGGCACAGGGAGAGGACAGATGCTCTCTCCCTGTGCCACAGGGCAGGGGCCCCGGGCCTGGAGGAGAAGCTAATGTGCTGGGGTTTTTTGTTTGTTTTGCTTTCTGTGAGACAGATTCTAGATTTGTATCTCAGGCTGGAGTGCGGTGGCACTATCTTGGCTCACTGCAGCCTCTGCCTCCTGAGTTCAAGCGATTCTCCTGCCTCAGCCTCCCGAGTAGCTGGGGCTACGAATGCGCACCACCACGCCCGACTATTTTTATATTTTTAGTAGAGACGGGGTTTCACCATGTTGGCCAGGCTGGTCTCGAACTGCTGACCTCAAGTGATCCTCCTGTGTTGTCCTCCCAAACTGCTGGGACTACAGTCATGAGCCACCATGCCCAGCTGCTGATGCATTGTTGAGGGGGCTTGGGCAGATGGGGGAGGCAGGTTTGGTGCCACATGGGGGAAGGTGGTTGGTGGTGAAGCAGAGGATAGGTTCCCATCACCCATTGGAGTGTTAGACATCTTTGTAGGGGGAGCACCACCAACCCGAGCTTGATACTGAAATGGGGGTAGTGCATGCGGGGTGCTGCTTATTCCTACCAGGGGCCCCAGTGGATGAGGCAGCCCCTAACCCCTTGGGACCCACTGGGGGTCCAGATACAACTCCCCCACCAGCCACCTCACCAGAGTAGAGCTGTGAGTGAGGGTGAGGGACCCCAGGAGGGGTCAAGGCTGGTCTTGAACTTCTGGGCTCAAGCGATCCTCCCGCTTCGGCCTCCCAAAGTGTTAGGATTACAGGCATGAGCCACCGTACCCGGCCAGTAATTTTACTTTTGATAAACCCCAAACAGGAAACAATTCAAATGGCTATCAAAAGATGAATGAATAAATTGTGATATATTCATAAATGGAATTCTCCTCCACAATAAAAGGGAGTGAATGGAGGATCTATGCAACAACATGTATGAATCTCAAAATAATTATGCTAAGTATAAAAAAAAAACAAATAGCCAGGCGTGGTGGCTCACACCTGTAATTCCAGCACTTTGGGAGGCCCAGGCAGGCCGATCACTTGAGGTCAGGAGTTCGAGACCAGCCTGGCCAATATGGTGAAACCCCATCTCTACTAAAAATACAAAAATCAGCTGGGCATGGTGGCTCTCACCTGTAGTCCCAGCTACTCGGGAGGCTGGGGCAGGAGAATCCCTTGAACCCAGGAGGTGGAGGTTGCAGTGAGCCAAGACTGCACCATTGTACTCCAGCCTGGGCGTCACAGCGAGACTCTGTCTCAAAAAAAAAAAAAAAAAAATGCAAAACACTGAGAGGTTACTTTGGATGGGTTGTGAAACTGAAAGGGGTGAATGGGATGACTCTAAATAATGGTCCAGGACCCATCCCCTCCGTGTTAGGCTGTTCTTGTGTTGCTATAAAGAAATACTTGGCCAGGCATGGTGGCTCACGCCTGTCATCCCAGCACTTTGAGAGGCCGAGGCAGGCTGATCACCTGACGTCAGGAGTTCGACACCAGCCTGGCTAACATGGCGAAACCCCGTCTCTACTAAAAACACAAAAATTAGCCGGGCATGGTGGCGCACATCTGTAGTCCCAGCTACTTGAGAGGCTGAGGCAGGAGAATGGCTTGAACCAGGGAGGCGGAGGTTGCAGTGAGCCGAGATCATGCCACTGCACTCCAGCCTAGGTGATTGAGCAAGACTTCATCTCAAAAAAATAAAAAACACAAATAAACAAATAAATACTTGAGGCTGGGTAATTTCTAAAGAAAAGAGATTTAATTTGTTCACGGTTCTGGACAGTACAAGAAGTGTGGTGCTGGCATATCCTTCTGGTGAGGGCCTCAGCAAGCTTACAATCGTGGTGGAAGGCGAAGGGGGAGCAGGTGTGTCACATGGCAAAAGCCAGAGCAAGAGAAAGCTAGTGGGGAGGTGCCACATACTTTTAAATAACTGGATCTCCCATGAACTAACTGAGGGAGAACTAACTTATCACCAAGAGGATGGTGTCAAACTATTAATGAGTTTAATATGATAGAATCACCCCTATGATAGAATCACCTCCCACACTAGGCTCTACCTTCAACACTGGAGATTACATTTCAACATGAGATTTTGGGGGAAAAAATATCCAAACCCTATCACCCTTCATTTTTGCATCTAACGTCTGGAAGCTGTGGCTTCCTCCACCTTATCTCAGCTCCCCCCAAAATTTTCTGAACTCTTACCCATTTGCTGTAACTTCCTTGATCATAAATACAAGAGTCCAATCCAATACAACCGAAACCTCTTCTGATTTTTTTTTTTTTTTCAGATGGAGTCTCACTTTGTCACCCAGGCTGGAGTGAAGTGGCATGATCTCGGCTCACTGCAACCTCCACCTCCCGGGTTCAAGCAATTCTACTCCTCAGCTTCCCGTGTAGCTGGGATTACAGGCACGCACCAGCACACCCAGCTAATTTTTGTATTTTTAGTAGAGATGGGATTTCGCCGTGTTGGCCAGGCTGGTTTTGAACTCCTGACAGGTGATCTACCTGCCTCAGCCTCCCAAAGTGGTGGGATTACAGGCGTGAGCCACCACACCCGGCCTTTTTTTTTTTTTTTTGAGACAGGGTCTCACTCCATTGCCCAGGCTGTAGTGAAGTGGCATGATCTTAGTTCACTGCAACCTCTGCCTCCCAGGTTCAAGCCATTCTCCAGCTTCAGCCTCCCTAGTAGCTGGGACTACGGGCATGTTCCACCATGCCTAATTTTTTTTTTTTTGGTAGAGACGGGATTTCACCATGTTGCCCAGTCTGGTCTCGAACTCCTGAGCTCAAAGTGATCGCTAGCCTGGTCCTCCCAAAGGGCTGGGATTGCAGGCGTGAGCCATCTCACCCAGCCTTCCGCATTCTATTGTTTCATCTTTTTGTACTGTACATTAGATCTACAGAGTACTCTGCAGGCAGTTAAGTTATAAAATGGTGAGGAAATAGCTCCAATCTCCATATCTCTTTCTTTGGCATGACTGAAGTCAGAGTTGGGGTGGGGTTAGACTGGACTCGCCCCCATCAATTTCAGCATATTTTCATCCAATGTACAGGCAGCTGCCCCTACCTTTTGATACCCTCTTCCTTACCAATGCCAAAATGAAACAAAACAAAACAATACCCACTTGAGACAGACTTTAAGGTGGCCCTGTGACCCCTGCCTCCGGGTATTCAGCCCCGTATAATTCCCTAATCCCCTTTCCTTGAGTGTGGGCAGGGTCTGTGACTTGCTTTTAACCAATAGACAATGATAAAAATAATGGGATGTCATTCCTATGATTACATTTTTATAAGACTGTCTTGTTAGCTGCCTGACACTAGAGCCTGCCTGTCTCTCTGTGTGGGTCTCTGTCTTTCTTCCTGGCTTCGAGGAAGCAATCTACTGTGAATCCTACAGCTGAAAGCAAATGAATTCTACCAAGCCGAGGGAGCCTGAAATTGGATCCTTCCCTGCTAGAGCCTCTGAGGAGAACCCAGACCTGGCTGACACCTGGATTGCAGCCTGTGACTCTGAAGCAGAGAACTCAATTCTGCCTCTCTCTTCCATTTTGAAGGGCAGTCTTGCAGTCTCTGCATTTTAGTCTCTCTTCTTCTTCTTCTTTTTTTCTTTTTGTGAGACAGAGTCTTGCTCTGTCGCACAGGCAAGAGTGCAGTGGCACAATTTTGGCTCACTGCAACCTCGGCTTCCCAGGTTCCAGCGATTCTCCCGCCTCAGCCTCCCTAGTAGCTGGGATTACAGGTGTGCACCGCCACGCCTGGCTACTTCTTGCATTTTTAGTAGAGGTTTTGCCATGTTGGCCAGGCTGGTTTCAAACTCCTGACCTCAAGTGATCTGCCTGCCTAAGCCTCTCAAAGTGCTGGTTTTACAAGCATAAGCCACCATGCCTGGCCAAGAAATTTCCTGAAATTTCTTACTCACTAACATGGATCATAATTAGCCCTTCCCATTCTCAATTATATTTTGCTGTATTAACCTTTTTATTCTTTTACTTTCCTTTTAGTGTTCTCTGAAAAGGGAGAAAAAAATAACACACGCTCAGTCCAGCATCCTGAAGAGAATGTATATTCTTCCTCTACCTCCATCTTGCAAGACTAGCAGAAAATTTGATCTCAGTCAGTTTTGGGTCCTCTTTAATTCTCATAGTTACATCAGCTTGTAGGAGATTTTAGAGGTGGCCAGGGGCATCTCATCTTTGGGTCATAGAAGCTATTGGCAGGTTTATTTATTTAATTATTTATTTTTGAGACAGTCTCGCTCTGTTGCCCGGGCAGGAGTGCAGTGGTACGATCTTGGCTCACTGCAACCTTCACCTCCTGGGTTCAAGCCATTCTTGTGCCTCAGCCTCCTGAATAGCTGGGATTACAGGTGTGTGCCACCACGCTTGGCTAACTTTTTTTTTTTTTTTTTGAGATGGAGTCTCGCTCCGTAGCCCAGGCTGGGGTGCAGTGGCTCGATCTTGGCTCACTGTAACCTCCACCTCCTGGGTTCAAGTAATTCCCCTGCCTCAGCCTCCCAAATAGCTGGGACTACAGGCATGCACCACCACACCTGACTAATTTTTGTATTTTTAGTAGAGGTGGGGTTTCACCATGTTGGCCAGGCTGGTCTCAAACTCCTGACCTCAAGTGGTTCACCCACCTCAGCCTCTCAAAGTGCTAGAATTACAGGCATGAGCTACTGTGCCCAGCCCCTGGCTAACTTTTGTATTTTTAGTAGAGACAGGGTTTTACCATGTCACCATGTTGGCCAGGCTAGTCTTGAACTCTTTGTTTGTCTGTTTTTTTCTTTTATTTATTTATTTATTTATCATTATTATTATTTTTTGGTCTCAAACTCCTGACCTCAGGTGATCTACCCGCCTCGGCCTCCCAAAATGCTGGGATTACAAGTGTGAGCCAGCAGATCCAACCTTTTTTTTTTTTTTTTTTTTTTCTGGAGCCAGTGTCTTGCCCTGTTGCCCAGGCTGGAATGCAGTGTTGTAATTTTGGCTCACTGCAACGTCAACCTCCTGGGCTCAAGCAATCTTTCCACCTCAGCCTCCCGAGTAGCTGGGACTATAGGCACTTGCCATCACGCTTGGCTAATTTTTAAATTTTTTTTGTAGAGACAAGGTCTCACTATATTGCCCAGGGTGGTCTCCATCTCCTGACCTCAAGCAATCTTCCCGCTTTGGCCTTCAAGTAGCTGGGACCACAGGTGTGCATCATTATGCCTGGCTTTTATTTATTTATTTAGAGACAAGGTCTCACTATGTTGCCCGGTCTGGTCTTGAACTCCTGGGCTCAAGCTATCCTTCCCTCTTTGGCATCCCAAAGTGCTGGAATTACCAGCATGGGAGCCATCTTGCCTTGGCAAAGCTGTTTCAAAAAAAAAAAGAAAACCTGGGCGCAGGGTCTCACGCCTGTATTCCCAGCACTTTCGGAGGCTGAGGCCGGTGGATCACCTGAGGTCAGGAGTTCGAGACCAGCCTGATAACATGGAGAAACCCTGTCTCTACTAAAAATACAAAAAATTAGCCGGGCATGGTGGCACATGCCTGTAATCCCAGCTACTCAGGAGTCTGAGGCAGGAGAATTGCTTGAACCCGGGAGGCGGTGGTTGTGGTGAGCTGAGATCGTGCCATTGCAATCCAGCCTGGGCAACAAGAGCGAAACTCCATCTCAAAAAAGAAAAGAAAAAAATACTCCTATACGTGGCATGCCAGGATCAGTGCTGAGGCCCCTTCTTTTCTTTCTTACACAATATCTCTAGGTAACCTATCCAATCCTGGGCTTAAGTGATCACCAATGATCCACAAATCTAACTTCAGCCTTGCTTGAATCTCCCCTGAATCTAGCCTGTGCATGCAGTGACATTTCCTCCTGGATGCTTGATAGGCAGCTCTAATTTCCCCCTAATACCTACCCTTTCCCTGTCTTCCTAAGTCTGATTTATGATTTATCACCATCTACTCAGTTTCTTATAAAAAATCTAAAGACCATCCTTGACTCCTCTTTCCATTAACTCTACATCCTATCCACCAGTAATTCATATAAACTCCACTTTCTAAATAATCCCCAATTCAACTACTTCATACCATGTTCTCTGCTACCACCATCTCTCACTGGACACTCAAACACCCTCCTAATTGGTTTCCTTACCTCCTCTTCTGACTCTCTGTAGTCCATCATCCACTCAGATGCCAGGATGATCTTTTATAAAGGTAATTCAGATCTAGTTACTCCCCTTCTTTTTTCTTTTCTTTTCTCTCTTCTTTTCTTTCTTTCTTTCTTTTTTTTTTTTTTTTTTTGACAGAGTCTTGCTCTGTCACCCAGGCTGGAGTACAATGGCGCAATCTTAGCTCACTGCAACTTCCGCCTCCTGGGTTCAAGCAATTCTCCTGCCTCAGCCTCCCGAGTAGCTGGGATTACAGGCGCACACCACCACACCTGGATAATTTTTTGTATTTTTAGTAGAGACAGGGTTTCACCATGTTAGCCAGGCTGGTCTCGAACTCCTGACCTCATGATCCGCCTGCCTCAGCCTCCCAAAGTGCTGGAATTACAGGTGTGAGCCACTGCGCCTGGCCTTTACTCCCCTTCTTCTTTTTTTTTTTCTTTTTTGAGATGGAGTTTCACTCTTATTGCCCAGGCTGGAGTGCAATGGCACAATCTTCCCTCACTGCAACCTCTGCCTCCTGGGTTCAAGTGATTCTCCTGCCTCAGCCTCCCAAGTTTCTGGGATTACAGGCATGTGCTACCACGGCCAGCTAATTTTGTATTTTTAGTAGGGATGAGGTTTCACTATGTTGGTCATGCTGGTCTCGAACTCATGACCTCAGGTGTCAAACTCATGACCTCAGGTGGTCCACCCACCTTGGCCTCCCAAAGTGCTGGGATTACAGGCGTGAGCCACGGCACCTGGCCTTACTCATTTTCTTAAAACCATCCATCGGCTTCAAGTTGCAGTTAGTTTTAAAACCTAAAGTCTGGCTGGGCGCAGTGGCTCATGCCTGTAATCCCAGCGCTTCGGGAGGCCGAGGGAGGTGGATCACCTGGGGTCAGGAGTTTGAGACCAGCCTAGCCAATATAGTGAAAACCCGTCTCTACTAAAAATATAAAAAGTAGCCGGGTGTGGTGGCAGGTGCCTGTAATCCCAGCTACTCGGGAGGCTGAGGCAGGAGAATCGCTTGAACCCGGGAGGCAGAGGTCGCAGTGAGCCGAGATCGCGCCACTGCACTCCAGCCTGGGGGACAAGAGCGAGACTTCATCTCAAAAAAAAAAAAAAAAAAAAAAAAAAAAAAAAAAAACCCAACCTAAAGTCCTTTCTATGATTTACAAATTCCTACACAATCTAATACCTATGTTGCTTTGTACATATTGGCACCATTCTTTCCCACCTTATGACCTTTGTTGGCTATTCCTTTGGTTTCAAATGTTCTTTACTAGGATTGTGGTATAGCTAATTTCTTATCATTCAGAGCTCAGCTTAAATGCTACTCCCTCAGAGGTCTTCCCCGGATACCCAATGTAAGTAGCCACTCTTGAAATTATCTGCTTAGCATTTATTGTTGGTTTTCTCATTTACTGGTGCCTTTATTTTTTAAATTTCAATATTTGAATAGATGACATGTTCACATGCTTCCAAAAAATGAAAAGTAATAAATAGGTATACAGTGAGAAGTCTCTCTTGCTCCTCCCACCTCCTAGTCCTCTGTCTCCCAGGTCCTACCCCTAGATATTTTGTGCAAATATTTTTCTTTTTTTTTTGAGACGGAATCTTACTCTGTCTCCCAGGCTGGAGTGCAGTGGCACATTCTCAGCTCACTGCAACCTCTGCCTCCTGGGTTCAAGCAATTCTCCTCCCTCAGCCTCCTGAGTAGCTGGGATTACAGGTGTTAGCCATCACGCCTGGCTAATTTTTGTATTTTTAGTAGAGACATGGTTTCACCATATTGGTCAGGCTGGTCTCGAACTCCTGACCTCGTGATCTGCCCGCCTTGGCCTCCCAAATTGCTGGGATTACAGGCGTAAGCCACCATGCCCGGCTTTTTCCTTCCTTCCTTCCTTCCTTCTTTCTTTCTTTCTTTTGTTTTTTTTGTTTGTTTGTTTTGTTTTTTTTGAGACAGTGTCTTGGTCTGTTTCTCAGGCTGGAGTGCAGTGGTGCAATCTTGGCTCACTGCAACCTCTGCCTCCCGGGTTCAAGCAATTCTGCTGCCTCAGCCTCCCAAGTAGCTGGGACTACAGGCGCGCGCCACCATGCCCGGCTATTTTTTTGTATTTTTAGTAGAGATGGGGTTTCACCACGTTGGCCAGGCTGGTCTCAAACTCCTGACCTGGTGATTTGCCCACCTTGGCCTCCCAAAGTGCTGGGATTACAGGCGTGAGCCACCGCTTCTGGCCTTATTTTTTTTTTTCACAAATAGTAACTTACTATATAATCTCTTATAGAATCTTTTGCTTTCTTTTTGTCTTCATGTAGCTGGGAGATCTGGCTAACTTATTATTTATTTATTTATTTATTTATTTGAGACAGAGTTTTGCTCTTGTCGCCCAGGCTGGAGTGCAGTGGCATGATCTCAGCTCACTGCAACCTCCCCCTCCCAGGTTCAAGTGATTCTCCTGCCCTAGCCTCCCGAGTAGCTGGGATTATAGGCATGCGCCACCATATCTGGCTAATTTTGTATTTTTAGTAGAGACAGGGTTTCTCCATGTTGGTCAGACTGGTCTTGAACTCCCGACCTCAGGTGATCTGCCTGCCTCAGCCTCCCAAAGTGCTGGGATTATAGGCTTGAGCCTCTGCGCCCAGCCTGACTAACTTATTAGTAGGATTTTAGATAGTTCAGAGTACAATAGGAGGGCAGGAGAACCGGGTTCAGGTTCAAGACAAAGAACTGAGACAAAGAACCACAGCAACAGGTACCATTTGGCCAACATATGCTGCCAGATAAGTGAAGCGTTTTCTCCACTCAAGAATCTCCTTGGAGACAGTCCAACTGGCCAAGATTAGGTCATGTATCCAACCTTTGACTGTACAGGTCACTGAGAGGAAAGATATAACAATGTCCTGATACCCCTTGGCTTCTGTATGGGTTACTTTGGCTGTGCCCAACTGGGGAGAGGTAATTCACCAAAAGGAAATTAAACTGTGATTAGGAAGAATTAGGATGGGAGAATAGCCAATAAACAAGGGTATTAATAGCACCTACAGAGTTCATGCCTTTTTATGCATTAAGTATACCTTTTATATATTAAGTATATATTTAGTAAAACAAAAAAAACTAGGTCAACAGTAGAGGTCCAAGAGTATTGTTTTTCTTTTAAAGGACATGGTACATTATTTGAATTGGAAAAATCCTGCCATGAATCCATGTTAAAGAGATGTTTTCCAGCTGCCTTACTATGAAGTCAGCGTCTCACCAGCAGAGTGCAATTGGTCTGTAAGGCATAACAAAAAGACCTTGTATTAAGTCAGTCATAGCCTTTGAAAGGCCATTAGTTAACCAAAGGCCATATTTAAGTTTTGCTTTGTAAGGTCTCTACGAAATACTTAGCTAAGGCCATTCTCTTACTCGTTTTCTATCTGGGTGAAGGGGATTGGTTTGTTTCTTTTAGTTACATTGTTATTTATTATAGACATTTTGATTTGGAGAGGTCTTCAGCAAGAAATTACAACTTTAAGTTAGAGATACAGCAAATTTAATGAGTGGCTAGGGAAACATGTCAGACATATTATGAATACAGGCATGAATGTGAGAACTTGTAGGATATCTTTTTTTTTTTTTTTTTTTTGAGACAGAGTCTCGCTCCGTTGCCCAGGCTGGAGTGCAGTGGCGCCATCTTGGCTCACTGCAACCTCCACCTCCTGGGTTCAAGGGATTCTCCTGCCTCAGTCTCCTGAGTAGCTGGGACTACAGGCATGTGCCACCACACTCGGCTAATTATTGCATATTTAGTAGAGATGGGGTTTTGCCATGTTGGCCATGGTGGTCTTGAACTCCTGACTTCAAGGGATTCACCTGACAGACACATGCAGGAGCAACTGGCTAATTTTTTTATGTCTATTTTTTGTGGAGATGAGGTTTCTTCATTTTGCCTAGGTTGGTCTTGAATTCCTGGCCTCCAGCGATCTTTCTGCCTCGGCCTCCCAAAATGCTGGGATTACAGGCTTGAGCCACTGCACCTGGCTGGATATCTTTAGTTAAGAATGAATAGATAGGGTTAGGTGAAGTAAACCCTATTAAGGAATGATGGGAGATAAGACGGGAAGCAGATTATAGAGAGCTTTGACAGTGAAGCTAAGGTGTTTGTCCTACAAAGGATTTTTGAACAGAGGTATTCAACATAAAAAGCAGTAATATTAATCTGGCAGTTGTGTGCAAGATGGGCTGAAAGAACAGATCCAGTAAGTCAGGAAACATTAATTGTCCATATATGCTATGACATTCCAAGCCAGCTGGGAATTACTGGTGTGATCTTTGGTTTGTTGCAGCAGTCACTAGCTAAATAATATATTCCTATTGGAGCCATGATGTGACACAGGAAACTGCATCAAATTCTTCCAACTTCCTCATTAAATTGATACTCATAGGTGACTTTCAGTCTCAATAAATTGAGAATTTCTCCCAATATTAATGACATTCTCACGGTGCTGGATCCTCTCTTGCCTTCCTCTGAACTATCAGAATTTATACTCAGATTTTTTCTTAATCGTTATAATACTGTCTTAAATTGTATATATTTTATCTTTAGTGCTAACTCATTTATACAATGCTACAATTTTATTTTAATTTATTTTAATTTATTTTAATTATTTTAATTTATTTAATTTATTTTAATTTACTTTTTTTTTTTTTTTTTTGAAGCGGAGTCTTGCTTTGTCGCCCACGCTGGAGTGCAGTGGCGCCATCTTGGCTCACTGCACGCTTTGCCTCCCGAGTTCACGCCATTCTCCTGCCTCAGCCTCCCAAGTAGCTGGGACTACAAGCGCCCACCACCACGCCCAGCTAATTTTTTGTATTTTTAGTAGAGACGGGGTTTCACCGTGTTAGACAGGATGGTCCCGATCTCCTGACCTCATGATCCGCCCGCCTCGGCCTCCCAAAGTGCTGGGGTTACAAGCGTGAGCCACCGCACCCGGCCTAATTTTTACTATTTTTTTTGAGACAGAGTTTCGCTCTTGTTGCCCAGGCTGGAGTGCAATGGCAAGATCTCAGCTTACCCCAACCTCTGCCTCCCGGGTTTGAGCGATTCTCCTGCCTCAGCCTCCGAGTAGCTGGGATTACAGGGCAGGCACCACCACGCCCGGCTAATTTTGTATTTTTAGTAGAGGTGGGGTTTCTCCATGTTAGTCAGGCTGGTCTCGAATTCCTGACCTCAGGTGATCCACCTGCCTCGGCCTCCCAAAGTGCTGGGATTACAGGTGTGAGACACTGCGTCTGGCCATTTGTTTGCTTTTTTTTTTTTTTTTTTGAGACGGAGTCTCGCTCTGTCACCCAGCCTGGAGTGCAGTGGCATGATCTTGGCTCACTGCAACCTCCGCCTCCCAGGTTCAAGCGATTCTTGTGTCTCAGCCTCCCAAGTAGCTGGGATTACAGGTGTGAACCACCATGCCTGGCTAATTTTTGTATTTTTAGTAGAGACGGGGTTTCACCATGTTGGCCAGGCTGGTCTTTTTTTTTTTTTTTTTTTTTTTTTGAGACGGAGTCTCGCTCTGTCGCCCAGGCTGGAGTGCAGTGGCGGGATCTCGGCTCACTGCAAGCTCCGCCTCCCGGGTTCACGCCATTCTCCTGCCTCAGCCTCCCGAGTAGCTGGGACTACAGGCGCCCGCCACTACGCCCGGCTAATTTTTTGTATTTTTAGTAGAGACGGGGTTTCACCGTTTTAGCCGGGATGGTCTCGATCTCCTGACCTCGTGATCCGCCCGCCTCGGCCTCCCAAAGTGCTGGGATTACAGGCGTGAGCCACCGCGCCCGGCAAGCCAGGCTGGTCTTGAACTCCCCACCTCAACTGATCCACCTGCCTCGGCCTCCCAAAGTCCTGGGATTACAGGCATGAGCCACTGTGCCCGGCTTATATGCTACATTTTATTTTGAGTCACTCTTTTTTTTTTGAGACGGAGTCTTGCTCTCTTGCCCAGCTAGAGTGCAGTGGTGCAATCTTGGCTCAGTGCCACCTCTGCCTCCTGGGTTCACGCGATTCTTCTGCCTCAGCCTCCTGAGTAGCTGGGACTACAGGCACGCACCACTATGCCCGGCTAATTTTTGTATTTTTAGTAGAGATGGGGTTTCACCATGTTGGTTAGGCTGGTCTCGAACTCCTGACCTCCAGATCCGCCCGCCTCGGCCTCCCAAAGTGCTGGGATTACAGGCATGAGCCACCATGCCCGGCTGGTTCAATTTCAATTCACGGAGTTTTTCAAACCTTAACTAAGTTTCAGGGTTCAATAAACAATAACTAAGTTTCAGGGTTAAACTTAAAAAATTATTATACTTTCACTTTTGTTATCAAACCATAAATGCATTTTCATAAAAACTTATTAGAAAATCTATTAAGAGGCTGGGCACAGTGGCTCACGCCTGTAATCCCAGCACTTTGGGAGGCCGAGGTGGGCAAATCACCTGTGGTCGGGAGTTGCAGACCAGCCTGGCCCACATGGTGAAATCCTGTCTCTACTAAAAATACAAAAAAATTAGTCGGGCATGTTGGCACATGCCTGTAGTCTCCAGCTACTTGGGAGGCTGAGGCATGAGAATCGCTTGAACCCAGGAGGTGGAGGTTGCAGTCAGCCGAGATCATGCGACTGCACTCCAGCCTGGGTGACAGAGACTGTCTCAAAAAAAAAAAAAAAAAATTATTAGTCTGTTTAAATTGCTACTTTGTTTTGTTTCAAATGACAATTTTTGTTCAATAATCTGCTTCATTTTCAATTTCTTTAACTTAGTATGGCTAACTGACTAAATCTGTCAGCTTTAATACATAAACCATTTCTTTCTCATAAAGTATTGATATCTGTTAGAATATCATTTAAAACTAAATCTCCTGGCCAGGCCCAGTGGCTCATGCCTTTAATCCCAGCACTTGGGGAGGCCGAGGTGGGTGGATCACTTGAGGTCAGGAGTTCAAGACCAACCCGGCCAACATGGTGAAACTGTCTCTACTAAAAATACAAAAAATTAGCTGGGCATGGCGGTGAGCACCTGTAATTCCAGTTACTCAGGAGGTTGAGGTAGGAGAATAGCTTGCACCCAGGAGGTGGAGGTTGCAGTGAGCCGAGATCACACCACTGCACTCCAGCCTGGGCGACAGAGCAAGACTCCATCTCAAAAATAAAACAAAAATACTAAATCTCTTGAAAATGTTCTTAGTCTACAAATGTTTAACTATTCTCATTTTAGTTTTTCTTAAGTGACTTACAAGTTTTGGTGAGATTTACAAACTACTTTTACAGCTTACCGTTAGTACTACCTCACCCACTGAGGTCCAAATATCTTCCATTACTTATTATAGCAACTCTGAGATCTCTGAGTGTATATTTCTTTCTTTATGTACAGTGATAAATATAATTCAATAATAAATGGTCATTCTCCTAAAGCATACTTTGTAAAGAATATGTATGACAAGGCAGATGTTACCCAGATCTCTCTCATTAATCAATGGTCATTAAGCATTCTAACAATTAACTTGAACTATATACACTGAAATTTATATTACTAATATTATTGCTTATTACACTTATTCTTTACCAACCAGTACAAAGTCTAGTAATACTGTAAGGTCCAAATATTCAGTAAGATAAATATTATAAGATTAATGAAATGACTACAGTGAGTCTTCAGTTAACCAAATGTGGGTATGGGGAGCCAAATGCCAACTGCATTATATTTAAATTCACATTATTGTAGGTTCCATTATCATGAGCCTTTTCCTGTAGTTTTTTGTTTTTTTTTGAGATGGAGTCTCACTGTGTTCCCAGGCTGGAGTGCAGTGGCGTGATCTCAGCTCACTGCAACCTCCACCTCCTGGGTTCAAGCGGTTCTCCTGCCTTAGCCTCGCGAGTAAGTGGGATTACAGGCGTGTGCCACCACGCCTGGCTAATTTGTCTATTTTTAGTAGAGACGCGGTTTCACCATGCTGGCCAGGCTGGTCCTTGAACCCCTGACCTCGGCCTCCCAAAGTGCTGGGACTGTATTTCAAATAGTGAATATCAGCCACTACGACATAATTGTGATACAGATGGAATAGTAGGGAGAGATTATAGAAAGGAAGCTATTATTAGAATAAATCAGTGCTTTTCTTTTTTTTTTTTTGGAGATGGGAGTCTCCCTCTGTCACCCAGACTGGAGTGCAGTAACGAGATGTCGACTCCCGGGTTCATGCCATTCTTCTGCCTTAGCCTCCCGAGTAGCTGGGACTACAGGCACCCGCCACCACACCCAGCTAATTTTTTGTAGTTTTAGTAGAGATGGGGTTTCACCGTGTTAGCCAGGATGTCTCGATCTGCTGACCTCGTGATCCACCTGCCTCGACCTCCCAAAGTGCTGGGATTACAGGTGTGAGCCACCGCGCCCGGCCTAACCAGTGCTTTTCAAATTTTTAAACACATTCAAGTGTGCATAGAGAATTAAAGGCAGCACGTACAGAAGGAGTCAGGTACTTTTTTCTTTTTTTTTGAGATGGAGTTTTGCTCTTGTTGTCCAGGCTGGAGTGCAGTGGTGCGATCTTGGCTCATTGCAACCTATGCCTCCCGGGTTCAAGCAAATCTCCTGCCTCAGCCCCCCAAGTAGCTAGGATTACAGGCGTGTGCCACCACGCCCGGCTAATGTTGTATTTTCTTAGCAGTGATGGGATTTCACCATGTTGGTCAGGCCAGTCTTGAACTCCTGACTTCAAGTGATCCACCCACCTTGGCCTCCCAAAGTGCTGGGATTACAGGCATGAGCCTCTGCGCCCAGCAGAGCCAGGTACTTTGATCTGTATTCAAGGCCCTGGCATTCCTCAGTAAATGCTTGAGGAAAACATGTAAAGTATCTAGTACCCGGTAAGATACTTCATAAGTATGTATTTCCTTGCCCTCTTTCTTCCTCTCAGTACACTGATTAAAAAAGAATCAATGGATAGATCTTGAGATTATCTAGATGAGAGATATCTAGAAGGGAAGATGGAATGGGACAAGGCCCTCAATAGACAGGGGGAAATTCAAGCACATGAGAACCTAGGGCAGGTCAAACTCTTCTTGAAAATAGCAGACTATGTAAAGACAGACCTAAAGTAGAGGGAAGGAAAGTTAGGAGAGTTTCTATTTAGTGGGAGAAGAGAGGAAGAAGAGAAGAAGGGGATCTTTAATAAGACATCTCTGACACCGGGCGTGGTGGCTCACGCCTGTAATCCCAGCATTTTGGGAGGCAGAGGCGGGAGGATTACCTGAGGTCAGGAGTTTGAGACTAGCCTGGCCAACATGGTGAAACCCCGTCTCTACTAAAAATACAAAAATTAGCTGAGCGTGGTGGCACATGCCTGTAATCTGAGCTACTCGGGAGGCTGACGCAGGAGAATTGCCTGAGCCCAGGAGGCGGAGGTTGCAGTGAGCTGAGATCGTGCCACTGCACCCCAGCCTGCCAGACAGAGCGAGACTCTGTCTCAAACCAAAACAAAACAAATAGAAATCTCTGCTAGGAAAGATTAGATGGAAAATAAAGGCGTTGCAGAGGCTGGAATGTGTAAACTCACAATGGTTCCAACAGCAGTTGTGAAAATGTTCCCCAGCAGCACTGAGCAACACGGATGCACAAAGAACGTGGATGTTTGGATTTATCCAGGACTGGGAGTTGGCAAGATAAGAATGGGCAAGGAAAGGAGAAAAGTGATCTGAGAGTGAATGCTCTTTAAGTGTCATTGAAGTGAGTGACTATAGAGTACAGGTGAGGTAGAGAAGGAAGTAAAGTAGAAAGAAGTTCACAGAGTGAACAGAGAACAGTTGATGGTTTTAAGATCTTGCCAAGTTCAGAAGGTGGTTTATGGCAACATAACTGGCATTCATTTTTCTGTGTTAATAGCTATGACTACAGATCAAGTGAAGAGTTTTGATTATTCTACAGGTAAAATGACTGTTAAAAGTCCCCAATTTGGCTGGGTGCGGTGGCTCATGCCTGTAATCCCAGTACTTTGGGAGGCCGAGGCAGCTGGATCACCTGAGGTCAGAAGTTCAACACCAGCCTGGCCAACATGGTGAAACCCCATCTCTACTTAAAAAAAAAAAAAAAAAAAAAATTAGCCAGGCAACATGGCAGGCATCTGTAATCCCAGCTACTTAGGAGGCTGAGGCAGGAGAATCGCTTGAACCCGGGAGGTGGAGGTTGCAGTGAGCTGAGATCACGCCATTGCACTCCAGCCTGGGCAACAAGAGTGAAACTCCGTCTCAAAAAAAAAAAAAAAAATTCCCAATTCAATGACAAACATTTCTGTTATTGACAAAGGCAAGATAAAATTAACAAATGAATAATGAAGAACACCAGGCCAAAATTAATTTGATAGGCAAGGAACAAATCTACTTAAGCAATTTTTATACTTAAAGGTAGACATTTTAATTTGTTTCTATAGTCAGTGTTAGATTTTTAAAAATGCTTTTTAAAAGTATGGGTTCATAAAGTTCAACTTTCCATACTATAACATCAATAGCCATGATTTTAACAGGTTTCCTTATCACTATTAAAATGGGAGATTTAAACTATTTTAAAAGTTACTAAAGACAGCACCCAACTTTTCAAAGATTTAGGTTGAATGCTTGGGTGAGGATTTCTCATACAAATATATGGTAAATAGATCCTAAGTAACATACTATAGAACCAAGCAAAACATGTTTCTAAGGGAAACATAAAACTTTCATTTTGGGATGTCAACAAATCAAATATTGAAATCAGCTTTTTTTTTTTTTTTTTTTGTCCTACCTCTTGGGCCACAGATGACTTCAGTGGCTTGGGTGTAGAAACTACAGAAAACTGGTAACCAGGTCAGGGTTAAGGCACTAAAAAGCTAATTAGTGTTTGATATTAAGCCTTTGGTTACTTTTCAGTCAGGCCCTCTCAGGCTAACACTTTCCTTTAATCAGGGCGATTAAAGATGCCTACTCACTTTCCATTCAAGCACCTACTGTCTTCAAGTCGGGGTGGTGATGTGGGCGGGAAGGAAAAGCGCATTTTTCCATGCTTTTGTACTTAAGGTAAGAAAACAACCCTTTTAAGATTGTCACTATCAATGATGGGGAAATATAATAAGGTTCAAAGGCTCCCTTCTAAAATATCCCATACTCTCTTTTTCCGCTTCCCAATTGGAAAGGGAATGCTGTACCCATATACTAACCAGTTTGGGGCACATAAATGTTACAAGGGAGAAAAAAAGATTTAGACTAGCATGTGAATTTCATCAAGCAGAGACACCTTGGTTAAAAAGCAAAACTTGTGGGGTGGAGAGGAAGGAAAAAAGGAAAACCTAAGAAAAAGGACCGGAGTGCTCACTGTTTATCATTATCAGCCCTTTTTTTTGAGACGGAGTCTCGCTCTGTCACCCAGGCTGGAGTGCAGAGGCACTATCTCGGCTCACTGCAAGCTCCGCCTCCTGGGTTCACACCATTCTCCTGCCTCAGCCTCCCGAGTAGCTGGGACTACAGGCGCCCACCACCACGCCCAGCTAATTTTTTGTATTTTTAGTAGAGACAGGGTTTCACCGTGTCAGGATGGTCTCGATCTCCTGACCTCGTGATCTGCCCGCCTCGGCCTCCCAAAGTGCTGGGATTACAGGCGTGAGCCACCGCGCCCAGCCCATTATCAGCCTTTTCATAGAAGACTTCAGTGAGGGTGTTTCCGGGGGGAAAAGTGAGATATTCCTTACAGCAGCGTTTAGGAAAAAAAGAGATTTGTGGTCTTTGGTCCAGCTAGCTAATAGAAACTGGCTTGGAACTGCCCAGATAGTACAGTTAGAAAGTGTATGGATAAAAATTCCTGGAAGCAAGTCTTTTTTATTGACGGAATAAACACAACATTGATGGTAGTAGGATAGAGTTGGTGGCAATGTCCTGTCACTGCAATTATGACATTCAAATCAGACCTACATAACTGTGGCTGCTTTTGATTCTTTCAACTTTGAATTTTGATTATCTGTACAGAGGGGCTTCTAAATGAAAACGAATTCACTTGCACCACCCCTACTCACCTATTTACTGTTTCTGGAGAATAACAAATTTTTTAAAAGGTGGTAAGGCTAAAAGACAAAAAAAAGATTAACTAAAATAAGCTATGAGGTCCAATCAAGAATGGCTTAACATTATTCATTTTCTTCTTTGAACATCTTACTTAAGTGTTTTACTAAGGCTACTAGCTCAGGGTTCCCACCACGTGCATCAATCTGTTTATAGGCTTTAGCTTCAAGCTCTTTAAGGGTATTACGAGTGTATTCAAAAGAACCTACATCCTCAAGATAATGTACACAGTATTTTTTTATATCTATGTTTTCTGTTCTCTGGCGCAAGATATTCTGCACCTGGGTGCTTTCAGGCCTTGACCAAATAGCATGAATAGTAGGAAATGAGAACTTTCCCTCTGTCAGATCTTCACAAAAACTTTTGTTTTCACTATATTCTTTGGAGTGTAGATTAGCATAATCATCCCTAATTTGGAAAAAGAGCCCAAGTGTATTAAGTAGCGGTTTTAAATCTTCTTTGTAATCAGAGAACAACTGCATGAGACCTACTGCTAATCCAAACAGTCCACCTGTTTTCTGCAGCACCATAGCTTTATATTCTTCTTCAGTGGGACAAGTGTAATTATCCCTCCAGTAAATATCTAGGCCTTGTCCCTGATGGAGTTCCAAAAGCTGGCGGGTAAAAAGCTTCACTGCATCTGGGTGATCAAGGGTTAAGACTTTCTCCAAGCCAAGGAAATACACGTAATTGGCAGAATTGATGACAGATGGGATTCCATAGATGCTGTGGGCCACTGGAAAGCCACGTCGGAGTTTTGAGTTGTCTTCAATATCATCGATGAGTAAACTGGCATTATGCAACATTTCTGTCACTTCAATAATAATCTAATAAAAAAATTGAAAATTTCACTTATTTGAACTATTCAAAACTTACTCAGTTTAATTAACAGATTATGAAAGTCTCAGGTGTGTTAATTTTCACAACTAATAAATATTTAGCAACCTCAATATAAAATAATATCTTGCATGAGGACTAAATTCAATCAAGAACTAGGAATATTTTTATGCGACAGCTATTAATTTCTTGGGGATTAATGAGGTTAGAGTTGCCTAATACCTGTAGCTTGTCCTCTGGAACTTTCAGCCAATGATTAAATGCCTGTGAAAGTTTGGTTCTCACTTGTTTACCTGCAATTTAAAAATAAAATGTGACAATGTGATAAGTGTTTTAATTATGAGTATTTTAACTACAAAAAACACATTCAGAAACTTCCTTTAGATTGATCAGACTTGCTAAATCCAGCCTCATCAATCCATTACCTACTGCAGAGCTTGCCTTGCACTGCTCAATAACTCATTCTCAACCACTCAGAAATCTGGATCATAAAGTGCACAACCTTCTAAAATTAGGGCAGGCACGGGAGACTCTAAAGCACTTCAGTTGCCTACTAGTCCACTCTTTTCATCTGAACTTGAATAAACAATTTTAAAGTAGGATGGGCTTTTAGGACTTAGGACCTAATTTATTTCTTTTTTTGAAAAGGAAGCTAGTTTATTTATTAATTATTTGAGACAGAGTTTTGCTCTGTTGCCCAGGCTGGAGTGCAGTGGCGTGATCTCGGCTCACTGCAAACTCCACCTCCTGGGTTCACATGATTCTCGTGCCTCAGCCTCCTGAGTATCTGGGACTACAGGCACACACCATGCCTGGCTAATTTTTGTATATTTTATAGAAAGGGGGTTTTAATATGTTGCCCAGGCTGGCCTTGAATTCCTGAGCCCAAGCGATACACCCGCATCGGCCTCCCAAAGTGTTTGGATTACAGGCGTGAGCCACTGCGCCAGGCCAAGAAGCTAGTTTAGTGTCAGTTAATTGGCACTACCTATTTTACATAACTATAGGTACTGTTAATAAAATATATTTTACTATTACCTCATAAAAATACCTCTTGAAATTATCTATTTCTCCTTTGAATTAAGGTTTTAGAGATGGGGAAGCTCTGCTTCTTTCCTTTCAAAAATGAGATCATCATGCACTGAAGTATTCCCTTTTAATATCCTGAGTTTAGTCAAAAGCTAATCTCATTATTTTGACTAGGGACATCTATTTTTCAGTATCTTCTTTTTTTCTTTCTTGTTTTTTTTTTTTTTTTTTTTTTTGAGACGGAGTCTCGCTCTGTCGCCCAGGCTGGAGTGCAGTGGCGCGATCTCGGCTCACTGCAAGCTCCGCCTCCCGGGTTCACGCCATTCTCCTGCCTCAGCCTCCCGAGTAGCTGGGACTACAGGCGCCCGCTACCACGCCCGGCTCATTTTTTGTATTTTTAGTAGAGACGGGGTTTCACCGTGTTAGCCAGGATGGTCTCGATCTCCTGACCTCGTGATCCGCCCGCCTCGGCCTCCCAAAGTGCTGGGATTACAGGCGTGAGCCACTGCGCTTCTTGCTTTTTTTTTTGAGACAGGGTCTCACTCTGTCACCCAGGCTGGAGTGCAGTGGTGTGTTCACAGCTCACTGCAGCCTCCACCTCAGCCTCCCGAGTAGCTGGCACTATAGGTGCAAGCGACCACGCCCGGTTAATTTTTGTTTTTGTAGAGACAGTGTGTTCCCATGTTGCCCAAGCTGGTCTCAAACTCCTGGGCTCAAGCAATCCGGCCGCTACAGCCTCCCAAATTGCTGAAATTACAGACGTTGAGTCACTTCACCCAACAGTATCATCTTTTTCTTACACGGAAAGCTCAAGATAGGTCTTTTTGTTTTTTGTTTTTGAGACGGAGTCTCATTCTGTTGCCCAGGCTGGATTGCAGCGGCGTGATCTCGGCTCACTTGCAACCTCCGCCTCCCAAGATCAAGCTATTCTCCTGCCTCAGCCTCCTGAGTAGCTGGGATTACACGCATGTGCCACCATGCGTGGCTAATTTAAGATAGGTCTTTGGATAGAAGTTACCACTAGAAGTCATTGTAGTCACATACAAAGGAATGATAGATAAAAACCATGGCCAGTTCACTTAGTAAAAATGTTCTATAAGTTTTCTGCTAAATGAATGCATGGTAATAACATCCTAATTTTAGATAAGGTTTCAGGAAAATGGTTACATAAAAAGTTAAAACTAAAATACTGTTTTCTTTTTTTTTTTTTGGAGATGGAATTTCGCTCTTGTCACCCAGGCTAGAGTGCAATGGTGTGATCTCGGCTCACTGCAACCTCCGCCCCCTGGGTTCAAGCGATTCTCCTGCCTCAGCCTCCCAAGTAGCTGGGATTACAGGCACCTGCCACCACACCTGGCTAATTTTTGTAATTTTAGTAGAGACAGGGTTTCACTATGTTGGCCAGGCTGGTGTCAAACTCCTGACCTCAGGTAATTCACCTGTGTTGGCCTCCCAAAATGCTGGGATTATGGGTTTTTTTGTTTGTTTGTTTGTTTGTGGAGATGAAGTTTTGCTCTGTCACCTAGGCTGGAAAGCAATGGCACGATCTTGGCTCGGCTCACCACAACCTTCGCCTCCTGGGTTCAAGGGATTCTCCTGTCTCAGCCTCCCGAGTAGCTGGGATTACAGGTGTGCGTCACTACGCCTAGCTAATTTTTTGTATTTTTTTTCTGAGATCGAGTTTTGCTCTTGTTGCCCAGGCTGGGGTACAGTGTCACGATCTTGGCTCACTGCAACCTCCACCTCCTAGGTTCAAGCGATTCTCCTGCCTCAGCCTCCTGAGTAGCTGGGATTACAGTCGTGCGCCACTAAATCCAGCTAATTTTTTGTATTTTTAGTAGAGACGGTTTCATCATGTTGGCCAGGCTGGTCTTGAATTCCTGACCTCAGGTGATCCACCCACCTCAGCCTCCCAAAGTGTAGGGATTACATGCGTGAGCTACCGCGCCCGGCCAATTTTTTGTACTTTTAATAGAGACAGGGTTTCCCCATGTTGGCCAGGCTGGTCTCGAACTCCTGACCTCAAGTCGTCCACATGCTTTGGCCTCTCGAAGTGCTGGGATTACAGGTGTGACCCACCACGCCCGGCCTATTATTATTATTTTTGAGACAGGGTCTCGCTCTGTCACCCAGGCTGGAGTGCAGTGGCACAATCACGGCCTACTGCAGCCTTGACCTCCTAGGCTCAAGTCCCCTGAGTAGCTGGGACTACAAGAACAAGCCACCATGCCTGGCTAATTTTATTTTTATTTATTTATTTTTTGTAGAGGCAGGGTTTCGCCCTGTTGCCCAGGCTGGTCTCAAACCCCTGGGCTCAAAAGCAATCTGTCCCACTTGGCCTCCCAAAGTGCTGGGATAATAAGTCAGCCACTGCACTTGGCCTGTATCACTTAAACACATTTTTTTGAAGATGAAAAACAGAGTCTCAATGTGAAATTTCATTTTTCATTTTACTTTTGAATGTTATATAGAAAACAGTACAATATATGGCTTATTTTTGAGGTACTACAGTTTTAATATTTTTTTCCCCTCTGATGACATGCTAGTGTTTAGCCTGATGCTTTTAAGTTTCCCCCCCTTTTTTTTTTCTGAGACGGGGTCTCCCTTAATCACCCAGGCTGGGGTGCAGTGGTGTGATCTTGGCTTACTGCAGCCTCAACCTCCCAGGCTCCGGTAATCATCCCACCTCAGTCCCCCAGGTAAGCTGGGACTACAAGGGCGTATCACATGCCTGGCTAATTTTTTGTATTTTTAGTAGAGACAGGGTTTTGCCATGTTGCCCAGGCTGGTCTTGAACTCCTGGGCTTAAGCCATCTGCCCACTTCGGTCTCCCAAAGTGCTGGGAGTACAGATGTGAGCCACCGCGCCTGGCTGAGTTCCAAAATAATTTCTAGTACTGAGGCTAATCACAGAGATCTCTCAAAATTAAAAGATTACTGCTTCCTCTTTAAGATCTAAACATTATTGTCTCTCTTTTTGGAGCCCTTCTTCCTCCACTGCCAGCTTCATCTCTCCCTAATCCCACCCTTCACCTCATCTAGGGCCCCACACTAAGGCAAATAAACAAACATAAACATAAGATGACAGCAAGTATGAGAAATTTAAAAATAAAAATAATTTTCTTTACTAATTTCAGAAAATCCTTTTTTTTTTTTGAGACAGTGTCTCACTCTGTTGCCCAGGCTGGAGTGCAGTGGCGTGATCTCGGCTCACTGCAACCTCTGCCTCCTAGGCTCCTGTGACTCCCGTGCCTCAGCTGGGACTACAGGCATGCGCTACCATACTTGGCTAATATTTGTATTTTTAGTAGATACAGGGTTTCACCATGTTGGCCAGGTTGACTTCAGAAAATACTGATAGCATTATTATTATTTATTAGCAAGAGTAATATTACAACAGTATAAATGACCTGGCACACCTCTAAGTTACTTTAGTAACTCTGAAGCTCTCTGTAAAAAAATAAGTGTGTTATGTGCATAGTGCAATGTCATATTTCTTTAGTAGTATCTTTTGAGGTTGTATTCCATCATGGATCAAGAACGTACTTGAATAAAAAGGTGAGGTACCTAGTGATAATTTTAAATATGTTATCTAATGTCTTAAAACATTATTTCCAAGTAATGAGAATTAAAAAAAAGGAAGTCACAGAAGGTGGTCACAGCATAAGTAAGCATTATGGTTAAAATGTAACTGTAGGCAGTCCTTGCTTTGTAAGTAGCAGAGTAAGAGACATTCAAGCGATGCTTGTTAGACTTTTGTCAGCACTGATAACTGGCTTGCTATTAATGCCAGCCCAGTTCCAGCTAGTGTTTGTGAGCGTGTTCTAAAGGATGTCTGGCAGTAAGAGCTGGGTAGAGTGAAAGTGAAACTGTGCCATGTTTCTCACTGGGAGATACTGAAATAAGTTACTAACTGCTGGATAAATGTCACTCAAAAGCAGTCTCTTGGCTTTTTCTTAAACAGTGGGCAACCTTCCCTTTGAATTCTCCATTTCTGTCATTCCCTCATTCTTCTCATGCATTGACATTAGCAGGCGAGTCTCTATTAGGGTCGGCCAAAATAAAAATGACACTAATTATGGTTTCCAAGGTGTAGCACAGGAGCAAGCATTCTTTTGGCTTTTATCCTTCCCAGGCTCATGAAGAACAGAAATGCACATATTACCACAGAGAAGTGCTCATAAAGAAAGGTGTGTACTTTAGCACGGAAATTTAAAAGTGTCTATTGAGACTGAATTGAGAGCATCATTAGAGTTTAGTCACAGTATGGCTAAATAGGTTTTTATGCTTGTCAAATAATTTACCAACTTTTATATTATTTCTTCTTTTTTAAAAAATGTTTAAAACAGAGAGGGGGACTTGTTATGTTGCCCAAGGTGGTCTCAAACTTTTGGTCTCAAGCAATCCTGCCTTGGCTTCCCAAAGTGCTGGGAATACAGGTGTGGGCCACCACACCTGGCCTATATTATGTCTATGAGAAAGAATATTCTAATACAAATGATTTTTTATTACAATAACCCCTGTTTATTATATTCATGAGTTTTTGCTTATTATCATTTCCAGACAAGTTCTTCTTTTTTTTTGAGTCGGAGTCTCATTCTGTTGCCAGGCTGGAGTGCAGTGATGCAATCTCAGCTCACTGCAACCTCTGCCTTCCAGGTTCAGGTGATTCTCCTGCCTCAGCCTCCCGAGTAGCTGGGACTACAGGCATGCGCCACCATGCCCAGCTAACTTTTGTGTTTTTAGTAGAGACGGGGTTTTACCATGTTGGCCAGGCTGGTCTCAACCTCTTGACCTCATGATCCGCCCGCCTTGGCCTCAAAAAGTGCTGGGATTACAGGCGTGAGCCACCACGCCCAGCCTCCAGACAAGTTTTTAAAGAAGCAAAATAAAACAAAAACACACACGTACACGTGAGGTAGGAAGCCATGTCCAAGGTGGCATACCCTTATACAGGAATAAAGTGGGCTATATTTCCAAATACTGTGATTTTAGATACATTATTATTTGGCTCTCAAAGGAACCAGTAGTATATGAAATGCAGTGTATGTGTGAGATACTGGAAAATACAGACATAGAAGGTAAACTTGAACATGTATGGTAAATAAAGTGTTCTACTGTTAAACAAATCTGCGTAACTTCCCCTAATATCTAAACAGTGGGGAATCTGAATGCGTAATATCCGTAAAGAGTACAACCTCCAATGAGATACCAAAATGTTTTAAGTATTTTTATTTTTCAAGATATGTTAAATAATTGGATATGTTTTAAAGGGTGCCTTCAAAAATTACGTTTCTTTTTAAGAGACGGGGTCTCACTATGTTGCCCAAGCTGGAGTGTAGTGGCTATTCACAGGTGTGATCATTGTGCACTATAGCCTTAAACTCCTGGGCTCAAGCCATCCTCCTGCCTCAGCCTCCCAAGTAGGTGGGACAACAGGTATGTATCACTGCACCTGGCAAAAATTACCTTTTAATAAAGAAAAAATTATAATGTTCTATTTATCATTTTTCTCATACGCATCACCTTAAATAGAAAATCTCAACGGCTAGCAAGTCTAACCTTTTCTATTTGCTAACATTTGAACGACCACTACTGCATGAAAATGACCCTATATGGACTGTAAGTGAAGTATTACCTGGTAACTGAAGTAAGTATTTATAGGGTTCTAGAAGAATTCTTTGGACTGTTTCTTGAGTCTTCTCCATTGGATTTAAACTTCAAAGCTAATCTGTCAAAAAGGAGAAACATAAAGATCACATGAAACTAATCATCTTTCAGTGTCAAACTGCAAAGGAATTTGTATTGCAGGGTGTTTGTGAAAAGACACCTAGTCTGGTTTAAAAAGAAGATTCTGTTGCTGGGCACGGTAGTTCACGCCTGTAATCCCAGCACTTTGGGAGGCTGAGGCGGGCGGATAGCTTAAGCCCAGGAGTTCGAGACCAGCCTGGGCAACATGGCAAAACCTTGTCTCTACTAAAAATATGAAAAATTAGCTGAGGTGGGTAGATCATGAGGTCAGGAGTTCGAGACCAGCCTTCACACCATCTCTACTAAAACTACAAAGATTAGCCGAGCATGGTGGTGTGTGCCTGTAGTTCTGGCTACTTGGGAGGCTGAGGCAGGAGAACTGCTTGAACCCGGGAGGCAGAGGTTGCAGTGAGCTGAGATCACACCACTGCACTCCAGCCTGGGCGAAAGAGTGACTCCAGTCTCAAAAAAACAAAGCAAGATTCTACAGCTATGAAGCCTTGAAAACATGTTAAGTGAAAGAAGCCAATCTCAAGAGACTACATATTGTATGATTCCATTTATACGAAATGTTCAGAATAAGCCAATCTACAGAGAAAGAAAGTAGATTAGTGGTTAGGAACAGGGACTAATTGCTAATGAGTACAGGGTTTCTTTTCGCAGGGATCAAAATGTTATAAAATTAAATTGTGATGGTTGCACAGCCCTGTGAATACACTAAAAACTGCTGAAATGTACACTTTAAATGGGTGGTATGTAAATTATATCTCAATTAGAAAATTCTTCATTCAAGTGATTATATTGGTCAAAGTGTTGTCTTGGTTTTTAAGTTGTTTTCTTAGTCACATAACTTATATTAAGCTTTTCCTATTTTAATCAACCACAAAAGGCTTAATTTGTTGACGGCAAATGTCAAAACACATCCAAAGAATTGGAAAGATACCTCTGTATTTAACTGATTACACTAATTAGTAAACATATCCTTTTTTAAATGAGCACTAAGATGAGTATGTTTTATGTATTTAAAATTTAAAGGGATTCTCCTCGTCCCCCTAGTAGTTTCTCTACAATCAATCCATTTCAGAGATTTCTGATTTAAAATACGCATTAACTCAAATGCATATATTTATTAAACATATTCCCCTTTATACTGAAATCTGTCTTATTTCAGTATTTCCTAGAATAACACTCATGGTCTTCCTAGGGTCTCCCTGTACTGTTGAATCTCTACTTTATTTCTTTGTATCTGTTTCTATTATTACTTGTCCTCATATTAGGAATCTAACTGCTCTAGCATCTTTGGCACATTTTGGGAAGTTTATTACTTTTATCCTCTTTCTTTTGCTTCTTGGGACTATGATTTAGTCTTTAGAATCCTGAGCCCACTTCTAACCAACTTTTCTACAACAAAAAGGCTAAATGTAATATGGCATCTAATGGCAGTTTGTGGTTAGGG
The DNA here is from genome assembly GCF_000001405.40 of Homo sapiens. Lineage (NCBI taxonomy): Eukaryota > Metazoa > Chordata > Mammalia > Primates > Hominidae > Homo > Homo sapiens. Next base: position 235,333,765 of record NC_000001.11, on the reverse strand, counting down.
CTGTTCAATGAGTTGCACATCATTGGATTTTGGAATTGGAAACCACTTTAGAAAGTTATCTCAGTATGCCAGAAGATAAAGCACAAGAATATATTTGCTTGAGTGAGGGCCACTTTCTTTTGAATGAAGAAAATGAAGTTCAGTTCATGTACTTTGTGTTATTCTGATTGCTCAAAGGTCCTTTTGTTTTTTTTTTTTGAGACGGAGTTTTGCTCGTTGCCCAGGCTGGAGTGCAGTGGCGCAATCTTGGCTCACTGCAACCTCCACCTCCCGGGTTCAAGTGATTCCCCTGCCTCAGCCTCCCGAATAGCAGGGATTACAGGTTCTTGCCACCACGCCCAGCTAATTTTTTGAATTTTTAGTAGAGATGGGGTTTCACTATGTTGGCCAGGCTGGTCTCAAAACTCCTGACCTCAGGCGATCCACCCGCCTCAGCCTCCCAAAGTGTTGGAATTGCAGGTGTTAGCTACTGTGCCCGGCCTGATCCTTTTTTTCTAAGTCTGGGCCAGAGACTTAGAAATCTTCAATTTAAATATGCATCTTGTATGATTCTGATACAGCTGCTTGAGAATGTTAGGGGAACTGGAAATAGGTTGCTTACATGGTATCACACCACATCACAACTAAGGGGGTGTGGGCTACTGTTATTTATTGTAACAGTGAGGATGTGTTCCTTTTTTTTTTTTTTTTTTTTTTTTGAGACGGAGTCTCACTCTGTCGCCCAGGCTGGAGTGCAGTGGCACGATCTCGGCTCACTGCAACCTCTGCCTCCTGGGCTCAAGCAATTCTCCTGACTCAGCCTTCTGAGTAGCTGGGACTACAGGTGCCCACCACCACGCCCAGCTAATTTTTGTATTTTAGTAGAGACGGGGTTTCACCAGTGTTCCTCGATTTCTAAATCAGCCCTAGTAACTTCATAATGTTAAGTAATAAAAGTCATCTTCTATAGCCCAGTCACCTGATACTATGATCTGATCATTGATACTCTCAGGGGTAAGGCAATTCTAGTACTGTAACTTCTTGCTGGCATTAAATTTAAAAATGTAAAATATACTTAGGAGCAGAATCTGACTTTTGTGGATTTATATTATAAATTAATCCACCAAAGACAAGACTTTTGCACATATTTCAGTAAATAAACACACTGATTCATATACATGCAGCCAAGCAAATCCAAAGATCCTGAGTAAATACCAACAACGTGCCACAAAAGTAAAATTTCCAAAATCTTGCACTATGTGTTTATTACAGCACTATTCACAATAGTAAAGATATGGAATCAACCTAAGTGTCCATCAGCAGATGACTGAATAAAGAAAATGTGGTATATATACAACGAATGATTACTCAGCCATTAAAACAAAATGAAATCATGTCATTTGCAGCAAAATGGATGGATAGCCCTTACCTTAAGTGTAACAAGTCAGACATAAAAGACAAATAGTACATCTTCTCAATTATAAATGGGAGCTAGATAATGTGTATACATGGACATGGAGTGTGGAATGATAGACAATGGAGATTCCAAAGGGTGAGAAGGTGGGAAGGAGGTGGATGATGAAAGATTACTTAATGGGTACAACGTGATTACATGGGTGATGGACCCCCTAAAAGTCCTGACTTCACTACAATGCAATCTATGCATGTGATAAAACTACACTTGCACCCCATAAATTTATACAAGTAAGAATAAACAAATAAAAAACCCTCCAAACCAAAATCTAATTATTAGTGCTAGCATTCCACTTTTCCAGCACAATTACGAGTGTAGAAGTGCTGAGACTACCCAATTTGGTGACAATCAGGTATTTAATGTTCCTGTTTTGTAGCAGTCAATGAATACAAGGGTAAAATGGTTTGAACCACATTGTCTCTGTCATGCAGTTGTTTTTCTGCTGTGAAATGAGACGTATAATATGGCAACAGGAGAAAAGAATAAAACTTCTACATATGTATGCACTGTTAGGCAGTTGGTAAGCACATGATAATGGGTGGCTGAAATAATAACACACACATATAACCATCAACTGTGCAAGTGCTTTGATGCTTCCCCATACTGTAAACCATCTCATGGGTCACAGAAACCTTTTGAGAATATGATGAAAGCTATGAATCTTCTAAAAAAAAAAAAAAAAGCCCGGTGTATGTGTTAATAAGTTGCAACACAAATGTATACACTGCCACAAAGACTTACAACATACAAATTCTCAGAGATCATATAGTCCCTGAATGTTTACACGTACCTCAGATTAAGATTCCCAGCTATGGAATATCTTTACCCTTTAATGCCAAGCAGACAAATATTCGTGTTTGTGTTATAACAAGCTAAGACATAAATTCCACTAGCTTAACTCTTTATTGAAGGCAGATTACAAATGAAAATTAAAGCACAAAACTAGTGTATAGTTCAGGTTACTCTTCAGGATTGAAAGGCATATTTTTTTGTAGTCTGTTCTTATCTATATGAAACAATCATAAAAAAGATCAGCACTCCACCAAAAGAAATCATTTTAACAACATGAATTCAAAGAGAAACATCCCATATGGAAAATTTCTACATCCATCTTGACTAACAATTAATACCAAAGACGTCGCAAGGAAAAAAAGGCTCATAAAGAATCAAGTAAGCGAAATAATCAACATACCTATTAGGCAAAAACCTATTTAGTTAGGTAACCTATTATGCAAATACCTATTTAGGTAACCTATTACCTATACTATTTGATCTCTGACACGTGACCTTATTATCAGGGATTGAAGTAAGAAAAGAAGATGCAAAACAGGAAGAATAATGGCTTAGCTAAAAGATTATTATCGAACATCATTAAAAGTAGAATTAAAAAAGGATCTCATATACTTCTCTATTTAAATGTTAGTATCTATCTTTTCTCAACTACAAGTTGGGAGCAAGAATCACGTTTGTATATTTTCTCACAGCCTCCAAAACACATTTGACCGAACTTAAAAATCAATGAGATGCACTTTCAGAATTCCCTTTTGTGTCAGGACCTGTAACAGGTGTACCCTGTTGCACAGAAATCAGAGCTAATCTTTGTTTCAATTCGTAGAGCTTTGTGGTTGATGTTATTTTTCAACTTAAAACACTAATTATGCTTTAAAAAATATTTCCTTTCCTCACTTAGAGATGTTTAAGAATACTCACTTAAGTCAATTTCCTGTCCCAGAGGATATTTACATACAAGCATTTTCAGTGGTATGAAAACATAAGAACTTCAATTTTTCCAGGTATCGACAACCAACTTGCCTTGTGTCTTTCTTCTGAAACAGCGTCTCACTCTGTCGCCCAGGCTGGAGTGCAGTGGCGTGATCTCGTCTCACTGCAAACTCCGCCTCCCGGGTTCACGCCATTCTCCTGCCTCAGCCTCCCGAGTAGCTGGGACTACAGGCGCCCGCCACCTTGCCCGGCTAATTTTTTTGTATTTTTAGTAGAGACGGGCTTTCACCGTGTTAGCCAGGATGGTCTCGATCTCCTGACCTCGTGATCCGCCCGCCTCGGCCTCCCAAAGTGCTGGGATTACAAGCGTGAGCCACCACGCCCAGCCGCCTTGTGTCTTCTTAAGAGTCTAAAGGATTCTACACACCGTGGCATATACTCTCACCCTCACCCGCCTTTGTTTTTCTTTTAAATCAAAGGATTTCCCAATTTATCACAGCTGGAAATTTCAGCTATCACATACTAAAGTTAAATGTAAAGAGGCATTAGTGTGTGTTACATGAACTCTACTAGTTTCCTTTTAGAGTGAAAAAACTACAGAATACCTCAGTGAGAGTCTGAAACTTCTCACTTTCAAAACTAAAAAGCTGCCAGAAATTTGTTCAAAGAGTGAATCCATAATCATTAATACAAACGCTCCATTCTTTTCACCATGTGAACTACTACGGCAATAGCCTCCTCGTCGGGTTCCCTGCATTTGCCTCTTTAACTCTTCTTTTTTTCGCTTCCTCTACTCTTCAGCCAGGGATGACATTCCAATCGGAGCCATCTCTCCCTTTTGATTGAGATTCCTTGGAAGATATCCCATTGCTATTAGGAGAAAACCAAAACTCCTTTACAAAGCCTAAAAGGTTCGACACTCCCCCTCATCCCATCTCTCCAGGCTCAGTTCTTCATATTGGAAAAGCTCCCTTCCGCCACAGGGCTTTCTGACAAGTTAGTCTTTTTGTCTGGAATGTCTTTTCCTTTTCTCTTTCCTTAGTTAACTCCTGCTAGCCCTTCAGCTCTCAGCTCGATCCTCACTTGCTCAGAAACCCTTCCTTTCCCTCCCTAAAGAAGCCAAATTCCCTCATTCTCCTATCACCGTGGAACTCTCCTCTGGGGCACTGCCACTGCGGTAATTTCACATCGTTTTGTTCAGCATCTGTCCGTCTCACCAGGCGCAGGTCTACGAAGGCAGAGGCCACCCCAGTGGTCGGCGCTCAACACCCATGAAGAAATGAAAGCGCCTTCTAACGCGTTAGACGATGAAACCAGGGCACACAACCTTGCGTCTAAGAAGTGAACATCCCATGCAAAAGACTTTTCAAAGGGAAGGGCCTGGTTTGAGAATGGCCAGAGACATACAAATGTGAAGCGCATACTGAATCCTTCCATTCATACTCCGGGAGAAAGACGATGGATCTGAAAGAAGCCGCCTGATATAAACAGGGAATTTCAATCACTTCGAGGCCGATTTTCCACAGCGGCTGGGCAGAGAACTGCAAACGTATACAGTGCTAGCACAGAGTCCGGAGGGGAAGAAACGGTGAGGTTTCTGCTTCCTCCTCGCTCAGATGCTCCCTTCCGCCCCACTTGGCCAACCCTTCCTCTCCCTCCTCGCTTAAAGCTAGGGGATGGAAAATTCATACACAATCCGGTTCAGCATCCGGGTCCTCACTCTCCTTTCTTTCTTTCCTCTGCCCCGCCTCCCAGCCTCCCCCGCCCTTCTTCCCATCCGGGTTCCCCCCAGCCGCCGCCACTGCCGCTCACAGTTCAACGATGATATCACGACTTTCACGCCGCCGGTCCGGGAGTAACTGTACCCCGCATCAACTTCCTATTTTATAATGTGGACTTAGGCTCTTCCCGATGCCTACATGAATCCTTCCCACTATTTCACCACAGAACTCTCCGCCCTCCTCAGCCGCCAGCGACACCGCATTAGTTGGTGCAAGAAAATGCGCCATCCCGGTCACACTGCGCAGGCGTCGTTGCCGCCTCCCTACTGCTTTGTTGCCCCGCCCCTTTCACCTCCCCCCCGCCCCCGCACCGGTCCACGCAGGCGCAGGGCATTGCGGGCCTTGCAGTTCTCGCGGACGAGGATTTGCGCGTTGGCCCCAGAGTATGGACTTTATTTCCCAGAAAGCCTTGAGGCGTAACTTTCTGTTTCCATAGAACTGGTGGGAAAATGGCGTCGTTGTTTGTATCCAGGGACCAATAGGAACAGTGTATAGGCGGGTTCTAAAGAACTTTAACCAATCCAAGGTCGTCTAAGAGGCCATCCGGGAAAGAGGTAGGGGAGGGGGGGAAAAAAAATCTAGGGGAGGGGAGAAAGGGGGGGAACCTAGAGTCGGTGGGGGGGAAGCGATGTTTGCCCGTCAGTCGAGTCCGGAGTGAGGAGCTCGGTCGCCGAAGCGGAGGGAGACTCTTGAGCTTCATCTTGCCGCCGCCACGGCCACCGCCTGGACCTTTGCCCGGAGGGAGCTGCAGAGGGTCCATCGCCGCCGTCCTCTGGAGGGCAGCGCGATTGGGGGCCCGGACCTCCAGTCCGGGGGGGATTTTTCGTCGTCCCCCTCCCCCCAACCAGGGAGCCCGAGCGGCCGCCAAACAAAGGTACCAGTCGCCGCCGCGGGAGGAGGAGGAGCCGGAGCCTCTGCCTCAGCAGCCGCTGGACCCGCCGCCCTTCTTCCCCATCTCTCCCCCGGGCCTGCTGGTTTTGGGGGGGAGAAGGAGAGAGGGGACTCTGGACGTGCCAGGGTCAGATCTCGCCTCCGAGGAAGGTAGGGATATTTTCTGGGGCTTTCGTGGTCTCCTAAGGGGGTTCTTTTGGGAGTCGCTGGGCCCGGCCAAGGAGCAGAGGAAGATCGCGGTGGTGGTCCCTGCGGCGCCCGAATTCGGGGCCTCGGCCTCCCGGGAACCCCCACCCCCCGCAGCCGCTGTGTCCGAGCCGCCCCCTGGCTGGGCGGCCGCACACTCAGCGGTTTAGCGGCCGCGGTCGGGGGCCCGGGCAGGGTGGGGGCCGTTCCGCCTCCGGGGCCCTCGGCCCTCACGTTGTCCCCGCGGCGGGGCCAGATGTTGATCTCGCTCCCACTTGTCGGGTCTGAGCCCGGAACGGGACGTGGGCAGGGGCTCTGTGGCGGGCCGGTCCTGCCCGCGGCCCACAGGCCCTCCTGGCCCCTCGGTGGCCCCCGGCCGGCCTCTCGCTCGGACGCGGCGCGTGGGGGCGCGGATTCGCTCGGCCGGGCGCCGAGGCCCTAGGGGAGAGCGGCCGGCCCTGCGCCGGACGCCGGGCTTGTTGTGAGTTTCTTCTCTGACAGAAATGGCGTCATTGTCGTAGACGGGAAACTCCGTCGGGTCTCGACAATGGGGACGGGAAGCTGCCGAGCTGTGTAGGTGGTTGGGTTTGCGGGGATGGCGGGGCCGGAGGGAGCCCCGAGTCGGCGTGTGATGGTTCGGGGGCTGGCGCCTGGTTGCGGCTCTTTCTTCGGGGTTCGGACGTCGCTCGCTTCTTTCCCTCCGCCTCCGCCAGTGCAGAGGGGCTCCTGTGGTGTTGACTGGGTGTCTTTTGTTTCCCCTCCAGGTGCAGCTGAACCTGGTGTTTTAGAGGATACCTTGGTCCCAGAGTCATCATGAAGGTAAGATTGCCTGCGGAAAACGAATCTCTGGGGTTATCGAATTCAGGAAGTAGGAGGTTTCGACGAGGTCGTCGTGTGGGGCTTCCGAGTTTTGCAGAGGAAGGTGTGTTTGGTGACTTGGTGACCGAGCCCTTCCCCAGAGAGACCGGGGTCAGCTGGCGGGCTTTGCTGTGGAGTTGGAGGCAGTTATAGGATGTCTCAACTGAAGATGATTCTCCCATATTGAACATCTCTTTTTGTAGGGAATGAGAGGAATAACGGCATGAATTAAAGTGTTTTAAAAGGTAAAATAAAAAGCAAGTCAGGTAATCTGACCCTAGAAACTGAACTGTATTGTGGTTCTATCAGTTACACTGATGAAAGAGAATCTTATTTATTGTGTGAACAGTACTGTAAAATTTTAGCAGAAAACTCTTTGACTCGTCACAAAAATAATTTAATTGAAAGATTTAAAAAGAGAATTTTTGTGATTTTTTACACAATTCAGAGATACCAGTTGTTTCTTGTATTTCCAGTGACTTGGGGTTATATGGTTTATTTTTCTTTATTGATCTGGTTGGTCTGTAAATAAGTCAGAGGCTCTGTTGCATTATGATGTGTGGAAAACTGATGGCCAGGTTCCTCTTAGATGTCAATATGTTAACTGAGTGGAGAATAGGGTCAAAAAATTTGCTTAATTGTTGGAAGAAATGATAACGATAAAAATACAGGTATTTTTGTTACTTGAGAGAATATGTATATGAATGCTGTCTTTTTTTTTTTTAAACACATGCTAGAATAAAACCTTAGATTTTTGAAAAGTCTGGATTCAACTGGTGGAACTTAGACACTAGCTTGTATTTTTTCATCCATTACAAATTCAGAAGTGCTTGAAAAGGGTAGAGTGTTCACAAGTGTAGAAATGCAACAGATAGCATGTTAGAATATCAACGTTGTCTACTTTTGACAGTTCCTTTGAACTATTTAAAAAAATATTTCACTTGTCCTCAGAATCAAGACTGCTTTGACAATTTTGCATCCAAATTAAAATTTGTAATACTTGTGGTTGTAGAAGGTAAAAGCTGTGGCTACTTAAATCTTGGTCTACTATACAGAGTAATTAAGTTTAGTCTAATTTTTTTAAGGTTTTCTCTTTGAGTTTGGGATGCTGTAAACTACCTGAAACAGTTTATTCCTATCTCATTTCATGAAGCATAGACATGTTTCAGGAATGAATCCCTTTTGTTAGTCACAAATCCTAGCTATAACTCTCATCACCTGTGTAAAACAGTGGTGAAAGTGCATTTATTAGGTAACTCGTATATGTACCTTGATGTTGGGTGAGAATTTCTTAAGAAAAGTTTTGGTTTGAGTAAGAAATAATAAGTTCAGAAGCCGAATAAATAAAAGGTTTAGTTTGGAGTAAATGTAATGTGTCACATTTCCCAGTGTTGTAGTGCTTGTCACTTCTTAGGTGCTCTATAAATGTTTGGTTAAAAGAAATGTAGTTAAGTTGAAAGTCTGAGATTAAAATGTTTTTTTTCTTCCTTTCGTTTCCTTTTTTTTTTTAAGTAGTCTGTTTAAAAAAATGAAAGTATGTTGGAAACTTTAGCCTTAAAAGTTTCTTGGTAATACTAGCCAAATGCAAATTTTTTGGTATCTTTTTAGAAATACTAATTTTAAGTGCTCAGCATTACATTCTACTGCATTTTTTAAAAAGGTGCTTTTAACGTTAAAAGGAAAAAGTTACTAAAATAAATTTCTAACTTCATACAAGTACTTCCTGTTATTATAAGTATAGCAAATCTCAGAGAATTTGCTAGTAATTATTAGTACTAAAAACTTAGCTTATTTCTTACAACTTTATTTCTTATGTGATAAAAGATGAGAAGCTTCTTGTAATTTGTATTTTGCTTTAGCAAAAATTGCAATTCAGAATCTATTTAATGTTGAGTGTATTAGGCCTAAATTTTGTTTCTTTTTCTGTGTGTTCCCAATTTCTTTCGTTCTTTTTTATTTTTCTTTTTGATATAGAGTCTCACTATTTCACCCTGGCTGGCACGATCTGTAACTGCTGCCTCCTGGGCTCAAATAATCCTCCCACCTCAGCCTCCTGAGTAGCTGGGACTACAGGCACACCTGGCTAATTTTTGTAGTTTTTGTAGAGATGAGGTTTTGCCGTGTTGCCCAGGCTGGTGTCGAACTTCTGGGCTCAGGTGACTCTCCCGCCTTAGCCTCCCAAAGTGCTGGGATTACAGGCGAGAGTCACCGTGCCTGGTGTAATTTCTGTATTACGATGATCATTGAGCTACAGAAGGTTTTATGCCATTTATTGGATCTTACCAAACATATTTGTACTTGGGAGCAAGCTTTTAAGTTTGAATTGTCTGTTGTATTAACGACAACAAATCTTTAAATTTTATTAAGTGACAGTTTATTGAGGTGATTGAAAGTTAGATTATGTAGTAATACTTTTTAGGTGTTGTTTTAAAGTTGAAGTGTTGTATGTTTTAGCAGTTTTCCCATGTACTACCTTTAAGAATTTATGTAAACAAATACATTCCCATTACTGTCTAATATATGCTATGTTACTTTTTTCACAGTATGTTTTTGAGGAATATGATTCGTAATACATAAGGAATTTGTGCTGTAACATAGATCGTGATGTTGGTGTTATGTTGAATTTATTTTTCATGCTCTTGATAGACTTTTAAAAATCAGTGGTGCCGGCTGGGCATGGTGGCTCACGCCTGTAATCACAGCACTTTGGGAGGCCGAGGTAGGAGGATCACCTGAGGTCAAGGGAGTTTGAGACCAGCCTGGCCAGCGTAGTAAAACCCTGTCTCTTCTAAAAATACAAAATTAGCTGGGCATGGTGGCACACACCTGTAATCCCAGCTATTCGGAAGGCTGAGGCAGGAGAACTGCTTGAACCCAGGAGGCGGAGGTTGCAGTGAGCTGAGGTTGCGCCACTGAACTCCAGCCTCGGCGAAAAAAGTGAAACTCTCTCTCTCAAAAAAAAAAAAACTAAATAAAATAAAATAAAAATCAGCAGTACCACATTATAAGGAGGTGGTAGATTATTAAAGTTTGTAAATAATTCCAAGACTTATTTTTATTATGTCAGGTTGATTTTTACTTTTTTTTTTTAAGACGGACTTTTGCTCTTGTTGCCCAGGCCGGAGTGCAGTGGTGCGATCTCGGCTCACTGCAACCTCTGCCTCCCAGGTTCAAGCAGTTCTCCTGCCTCAGCCTCCTGAGTAACTGGAATTATAGGCATGCACCATCATGCCGGGCTAATTTTGTGCTTTTAGTAGAGACAAGGTTTCTCCATATTGGTCAGGCTGGTCTCGAACTCCTGACCTCAGGTGATCTGCCCGCCTCGGCCTCCCAAAGTGCTGGGATTACAGGCGTGAGCCACTGCGCCCGGCCGATTTTTACTTTTTTTAAACTCAAACTTTTTTTTCCTGTATCTATATTGTACATGTTATTAACGTCTTTTATTACGTAGCAGTAAATTTTCAATTAAAATGGGCTGGTTGGGCTGGATATACCAGAATCTTTAGAGGAGGAATGATTTAGATGATTATACTTTGGCGGGCATGGTGGCTCATGCTTGTAATCCCAGTACTTTGGGAGGCTGAGGTGGGTGGATTACTTGAGGTTGGGAGTTCAAGACCAGCCTGGCCAAAGTGATGAAAACCCCGTCTCTACTAAAAGTATAAAAAAATTAGCTGGGCATGGTGGCGCATGCCTGTATTCCCAGCTACTCAGGAGACTGAGGTAGGATCGCTTGAACCTAGGAGGTGGAGGTTGCAGTGAGTCGAGATGGCACCACTGCACTCCAGCTTGGGTGACAGGGAGACCCCATTTCAGGAAAAAAAAAAAAAAAAAGGTGGTTATATTTAGAATCCACGTAGATTGAATTTTCCAGATGTACTTTTCTTTCTTCAACAATGATTGGCTTAGGCCACATGAAAAAATAATGGATTGATTACAAATTCCCTTTTTTAATGCCCTGTGTGTGTGTACATGTTCTCTCTCTCTCTCCCCCTACCTCTACCTTTGTTTGTCTCCCTATCCACTCTGTCAGTTCGTTCCCCCCTCTCTGTTCTTTTCCTTCCCCCTCTTCCTTCTGTCTCACCCCTTTCATAAGTCATTCATTTAACAACAACCCGTTTCATATATCAGGTAATATAGAATGAAGGTGGGTGAGGCATCTGACCTGCTTTCAGGGAGCCCACAGTGTAGCAGAAGATGCAGATAAATAAAGCAAAACTCCTAGCATATCTATTTATGAGTATTCCAACATAAAATAATTGTAGGAAATGCTATGAGAGGACAGAAGAGGACAGCTAAATCAGAGAGCTATGGAAAGTTTTCTGGTGGAGTTGACATCTAAGCTGAGTGCGAAGGCTTTTGCTAGGCAAAGAAGGGAAGAAAAGTTTTTCAGATAGAGGATAACGTACTGGAAAATGAACGAAACAAGGTGAAGTATCTGGAAACTGTAAGTAATTTGGTGTGACTGAATTAACTTAAAGCATGATATGTTTGGGTAGGAATAAAAGGGCAGTGGTGGGAGATGAAGCTGAGTGAGGGAGTCGAAAATTTTCTTGGCCAGGCATGGTGTCTCACACCTGTAATCCCAGCACTTTGGGAGGTTGAGGCAGGTGGATCACCTGAGTTCTATACCAGCCTGGCCAACATGGTGAAACCCTGTTTCTACTAAAAATACAAAATTAGCAGGGCATGGTGGTGTGAGCCTGTAATGCCAGCTATTAGGGAGGCTGAGGCAGAAGAATAGCTTGAACACGGGAGGTGGAGGTTACAGTGAGCCGAGATCATGCCATTGCACTCCAGCCTGGGTGACAAGAGCAATACTCTGTCTCAAAAAAAAAAAAATTTTTTCTTGAAAACTACATGGAACCATTGAAAGTTGTTGAGAATTGCTTGAACCCAGGAGCTGGAGGTTGCGGTGAGCTGAGATCAGGCCACTGCAAAAACAAGGGGAGAGCTGAATGTAAGGATGGAAATTCCAGGTAAGAAGTCCAAGTGGAAAATGAATAAGGGCCTGAACTAATGCATTGGAAGTGGAGCAGAGAGGATAGATCTGAGCCTTTTTGAAGTAGAATTCAGGGCCGGGCACAGTGGCTCACACCTGTAATCCCAGCACTTTGGGAGGCTGAGGTGGGTGGATCATGAGGTCAGGAGATTGAGACCATCCTGGCTAACACAGTGAAACCCCGTCTCTACTAAAAAAATACAAAAAATAGAAATTAGCCAGGCTTGGTAGCGGGCGCCTGTAGGACGCTGAGGCAGGAGAATGGTGCGAACCTGGGAGGCGGAGCTTGCAGTGAGCCGAGATCACGCCACTGCACTCCAGCCTGGGCGACAGAGCAAGAGTCTGTCTTAAAAGAAGTAGAATTCAGGACCTAGTAACTCATCCTGGGGTAGGAAGAAGATGGAGGTTTTTTTCTTAGGAAATTAGATAGATGTTACTGTCATTTGAAGCATGCTGTCATTGGACCTGCTAGTTAAGATGTAAGAGTAAGTAGGTAGGATGAAGTCAGAGGCTTGGTTAATCTGGTGTGAATGTTAACCTCATATCTATGATATTTGAAGGGATTTAAGATCCATAACATGGCAAATTTTGTGCTATAAATTTGTGGTCCTTTAGATGAATAGGTAATCTTGTAAAATACTAACATGTTTTCTGTCCAAATTGCTAAATCTTTGTTTATTGTAATTAAAAAAAATACTAGGTGAGTACCTATGTCACTGAAGAATGTTTTTGCCAAGTCAGCCAGTGAATTCAGTCATTGAACACATTGTGTACTTTCCTTGTACCGGACATTGTTCTGGGTTTTGAGGATGCAGCAGTGAATAGAACAAGAGTTCTTACCCTCGTGGAGTTTACTTTCTACTATGGTGGACACACGTTAAGAAAAAAAATAATGCTAAGTGCTTTGAAGAGAAATGATACGGAATCAGAATAAGAGGTTAGAGTGACAGAGGGTGGGTTACTTTAGATTAGGTGATAATGGAGGGCCTTTTCGAGATGACATTTAAGTGTGCTGTGAAACAAGTGATAGAGTGAGCCATTCAGGTTTCTGGGGGAGGAGCATTCCCTGCAGAAAACAAGTGCAAATACCCTGAGATGGAGTGTGCTTGGCATGTTTGAGTGTGATACATTTAAGGAACATTAAGGCCATCAGGGCTGGAGTGGTAGGAGAGGAGGTCAGAGAGGGTCACAAAGGGCCAGTACAATTGTAGGGCCTTATAGGACATGGTAAGGACTTGAGTAAAATCTGAATGTGTTAGGAACCCTTTGAAGGGTGTTGAGTGAAGTGATGTGATAAACATTTTCAAAAATGTTTGACTGCTGGGTAGTGAACACATCATGGGTTCGAACAGATCATGGGAACACAAGAGTGGAAGTAGGGAGATCAGTCAGAAGGCTGTCAAGCTAGTCCTGGGGAGAGATGGTGGTGAGGAGAAATAGTAGTATTGGGAATATATTTGAAGATGGGGATGATTGGATTTCAATGGATTGGGTGTGAAGGGAAAATTCTACTTACTGCAACTTGCACATGTATGTCCTCCCACAAGTGCCCTCCCTCCTTTTCTTTTGAGACGGAGCCTCTCTCTGTTGCCTAGGCTGGAGTGCAGTGATGTGATCTCGGCTCACTGCAGCCTCTGTCTCCCGAGTTTAAGTAATTCTCTTGCCCCAGACTCCCCTGTAGCTGGGATTACAGGCACCTGCCACCACGCCTGGCTAATTTTTTTTGTATTTTTTGTTTTTTTTTTTTTAGACGGAGTTTCGCTCGTTACCCAGGTTGGAGTGCAATGGCACGATCTCGGCTCACTGCAACCTCTGCCTCCCAGGTTCAAGCGATTCTCCTGCCTCAGCCTCCCAAGTAGCTGGGACTACAGGCATGTGCCACCATGTCTGGCTAATTTTTGTATTTTTAGTAGAGACGGGGTTTCACCATGTTGGCCAGGCTGGTCTCAAACTCCTGACCTTGTTATCCACCTGCCTCGGCCTCCCAGAGTGCTGGGATTACAGGTGTGAGTCACCTCGCCCGGCCTTTTTTTTTGTGTTTTTAGTAGCAATGGGGTTTCACCATGTTGGCCAGGATGGTTCTGAACTCCTGACCTTAAGTGATCCGCCCGCCTTGGCCTCCCAAAGTGTGAGCCACTGCACCTGGCCGTCCTCCCTTTTTTTAAAAAAGTCTTTTTGCTGTGATTAGTTGGTAGATGGGATTCTTGGAACTGAGTATGACCATGAAGGCATTGTCAAATCTTAGCCTTCTCAGTGAGCAGTGAACATTGAGTTGAGCAATCCTTTCACTTGTTTTTTTAATTAAAAAAAATGAGATATAATTCACATACCATAAAATTCACCCTTTTATTTTATTTTTTTTGAGACATGGCCACAGTCTGTTGCCCAGGCAGGAGTGTAGTGGCGCAATCACAGCTCACTGCAGCCTTGATCTTCAGTGGGCTCATGTGATCCTGCTTCAACCTCCCAGGTAGCTGGGACCAGAGGTGCACGGCACCATGCCCAGCTAACTTTTAAATTTTCTGTGGAGGTCTCACTGTGTTGCCCAGGCTGGTCTTGAACTCCTGGGCTCAAATGATCCTCCCATCTTGGCCTACCAAAGTGTTGGGATTACAGGCATGAGCCACCGCGCCTCACCAAATTCACCTTTTTAAAGTGTTCATAAATTTCTAGTATTTTCACAAGTTTGTGCATCCATCACTACTATCTTTTGAAAACTTTTTTGTTAATTTCTTTTGTTTGTTTTTTTAGAGATGAGGTCTTGCTGTGTTACCTAGGCTGGCCTTGAACTCTTGTGGTCAAGTGATCTTTCCCCCTCAACTTCCTGAGTAGCTGAGACTTCAGGCACGTTACTTATCCCTAGCTATCTGTCACTGCTATTTAACTCCAGAACATTTCCAAATTCCCAACAAGAAACTTCTTATCCATTAGCAGTCATTCACTGTTCTCCCTTTCTTTTATCCCTCCAGTAACTAATCTAAATTTTTTTTTTGAGAAGAGTTTTGATTCTGTCACCCAGGCTGGAGTGCAGTGGCTCGACCATGGCTCACTGCAGCATCGACCTCCTGGGTTCAAGCGATCTTCCTGCCTCCAGCTCCCAAGTAGATGGGATTACAGGTGTGCGCCACCATGCCCAGCAAATTTTGGAATTTTTTGTAGTAGTGAAGTCTCACTATGTTCCCTAGCCTGGTCTGGAACTCCTGAGCTCAAGTGATCCTCTTGCATTGGCCCCCAAAGTGCTGGGATTACAAGATTCAGACACTGAGCTTAGCATTTACTTTCTGTCTATAAGGATTTGCGTATTCTGGGCATTTTCTGTTAACGGAATCCTGTAATACATATGTGGCCTTTTTGTGTCTGATTTCTTTTACTTCCCATAAGTGAAAGAAGTAGCAAGTGTTGACCAGGCGCGATGGCTCACGCCTGTAATCCCAGCACTTTGGGAAGCCGATGTGGGTGGATCACGATGTCAGGAGTTCAAGACCAGCCTGGCCAAGATGGTGAAACCCCATCTGTACTAAATAAAAAAATTAGCCGGGTGTGGTGGTGGGCGCCTGTAATCCCAGCTACTCAGGAGGCTGAGGCAGAGAATTGCTTGAACCTGGGAGGCAAAGGTTGCAGTGAGCTGCGATGGCGCCACTGCACTCCAGCCTAGGTGTCAGATCAAGACTCCGTCTCAAAAAAAAAAAAAAAAAAAAAAAAAAGGAGTAGCAAGTGTTAATACTATGCTCTTTTTTATTGCTGAATAATAGTCCATCTTATGAAGATACGACATTTTGTCAGTCTACTTATTTGGAGGACATGTGGGTTATTTCTGCTTTTTTGCTTATTGTGAGTAATGCTGCTATGAGCATTTGTATGTAAGTTTCTGTGCGAACATGTATTTTTAATTCTCTTGGGTCCTGGGAGTGGACCTTTCAGTTCTTAGGGTACTAATATTACCTGTGTGATAACCTGGGGAGTGCTGAGTATTTAACTTCATGTATTTTGTGTTGTGGCAAGTGGCCACCAAGGAGTTGGACATTTAAAAAATTAATTCAATATTTATTGAATACTTATTATGTATTGGTCTCTGTTCTAGTCAGTTGGAATATGTCAGGGAACAAAACAGGTAGAAATTCCTGGCTCTTTGGATCTCTTAGGAGTACAGGAAACTCTGGTATTCAAGGTTTCCGTAGAAAATAATGTGCTTTTAGAAATCATAATTTTCGTTCTAAAATTGGAGACAGCATTCAGATTTGGGGAAGAAAAAAATGAGTTTATGGAAGTATATAAACAGTTTACTAGAAAATAAAAAGCAGGTCTACTAAGGTCAGCATAGACAAACTATCTTCATGTTCACCTTACCATAGTGGCTGTTATTTTAAGCTGGTTAATAGAAGCAAGGGACATAATGAAAGAGTCAAAAAGGGAAAAGTTTTAAAACAATACTTGGCTTACTCTGAGCATAGTTTCCCCTTTCCTTAATTAACGCTTGCTCATATATTACTCAGAAAGTCCAAGTGTAGGCTTCAGAGGAGAGGAGCCATAGATAGCTTTCATCAGATTCTTGATGAAACCCACAGTACAAATGTTAAGAAACACAGCTCTGTGGTATCATCTGTTGACTGATCTGCTGCTAATCTATTTAATAGGAAGAGTTGTTTCTATATCCTTCTACTTTTACCATTAAAGAAAAAGTAATCAACTAGTCACTGTTCATTTTATTTTCAAATTTATTTTTGCTTAAATCATTGCAGAATCAGAAAAAAATTTTTATTATATTGTTTCTGAAATGTTAACATTTAGGTGAAATGCTTAATCAGGTTGAGTATCACTTACCTGAAATGCTTGGGACCAGAAATATTTGGGATTTTTTCAGATTTTGGAATATTTGCATTTATATGCTTAGTATTTGAACATCCCAAATCTGAAAATCCAAAATGTTCCAGTGAGCATTTCCCTTTGGTGTAACATGAACACTGAAAAAGTTTCAGTTTTTGTAGCATTTCTGATTTTTTGTGTTTTACGTATGTATATGTATATCTGTATCTTGTTTTTTTGTTTGGTTGTTTGAGACAGAATCTTGCTCTGTCACCCAGGCTGGAGTGCAGTGGTGCGATCTCAGCTCACTGCAACACTCGGCTCCCGGATTCAAACGATTCTTCTCCCTCAGCCTCCCAAGTAGCTGGGATTACAGGCGCCTGCCACCACACCTGGCTAATTTTTGTATTTTTAGTACAGACGAGGTTTCGCCATGTTGGCCAGGCTGGTCTCTCGAACTCCAGACCTCAGGTGATCCTCCTGCCTCAGCCTCCCAAAGTGCTGGAATTATAGGCATCAGCCACCGTGCCCAGCCTTATATAAATATATTATTATTTTTTTGAGACGAAGTCTTGCTGTGTCGCCCAGGCTGGAGTGCAGTAGTGCGATCTTGGCTTACTGCAGCCTCTGGCTCCTGGGTTCAAGTGATTCTCCTGCCTCAGCTTCCAGAGTAGTTGGGATTACAGGCGTGTGCCACAACACCTGGCTAATTTTTTGTATTTTTAGTGGAGACGAGGCTTCACCATGTTGGCCAGGCTGGTCTCGAACTCCTGACCTCAAGTGATCCGCCCGCCTCAGCCTTCCAAAGTGCTGGAATTACAGGTGTGAGCCACTGCACCCCACTTATTTTTGAGTTAGGGATACTCAATGTGAATTGCTTGAAATGTTTACCTCGTTGAATTCCTAAGAAGAATTTGAATTTTTTAAATTTATAACTAGCCTTTGATCCATGGAAACATTTTATAAAATAATTTCCAAAATAATTTCCTGGAAATCTGGAATTGTAGTCTGTAGCAAATTGGGATTATTTATTAATTTAATTTAATTTAATTTATGAGATCAGAGTCTTGGTATGTTGCGTTGGCTGGTCTCGAACTCCTAGGCTTGAGTGATCCTTCTGCCTCAGCCTCTCTAGTGGCTGGAACTGTAAGTGCACACCACCATGGCACATTGGATATTATTTATGAAACTATTTATTACAAATGTTAGTATATGCTTACTCTTACCTTTTGCATATTCAATTATTTACTCTAATCGGGTTATCTAAGGCAAGAATAGTATCTAACTGTGAATAACCAGATATGCTTAGCTTTAGGATACAGTTAGACGTAAGTATAGAATTCAACATCCCTGTAACTAATGTCTTTCCAGATTAATGTTAGTGTTGATAGTAAGGTGGTAGAACGGGCTAATTCTCTGGGCCATTATTACTGATTTATAAGGTAGAAAATAGGGTGTATCACTTTAAAGTTACAAATTTACATTTATAAGGAAGAAAATAGGGTATATCACTTTTAAGTTACAAATTTACCTGTCATCAATTAAGAGAATAATAATTAGGCAGTAGGTTTATACCATTAAAATGTGTGAGATTACTTACACTATATCTTGGACAGTGGGACAGATAATTTATTTTTTTGGAGACATAGCCTTGTTCTGCGGCCCAGGTTGGAGTGCGGTGGCGCAATCATAGCTCACTGCAGCCTCCAGCTCCTGGGCTCAAGTGATCTTCCTACCTCAGTCACCCAAGTAGCTGAGACTACAAATAATGCACACCACCATGCCTCGCTAAATTTTTTTGTATTTTTGGTAGAGACGGGGTCTCCTTATCTTGCCCAGGCTAGTCTTGAACTCTTGAGCTCAGGTGATCCTCCCACCTTGGCCTCCCAAAATGTTGGGATTACAGATGTGAGCCACCAAGCCTGGCCTGGACAATGGGACAGATACTTTATATGTAGACTTTTCTCATTTAAGCCATTTTTCTCTAGTTTATAGATAAATTTTTGGCAATGTGACAACTAGAATATCTGAAATCCTATATAAAAGTTCTATTAATGCTATCTGCTAATTGATAACCTTTTGATTTCAGGGTATAATTGCTTATGAGAACATAGTCATTGATAACTTTAGTAAGTTTCATTGAACATCATATTTTAACAATGCACTTCAATAGCAAATGAAGATTATAAACTAAAACCTTTGAGCAAGTGGTATTTAAAGAAAGGATTTACTTTATATTGATAGCCAAAATAATGTATATACCGAAATATATATAAATACGTATTTATAAACATATTTTACTGATAGTAAAATGTTATATATATTGTTATATATCATTTAAGATAATTTATATGTAAATTAAATATAAACCAGATTTCTTTATTCCAGGAACCTTGCTGTTGTTTCTAACCTTTCTTTTCCTGCTACTTAGTGATGCAGAAGCTTTTCTTGGTAAATCTACTTGTCCCCTCTCTTAATTTACTGCTTGAATATGACTGTGAAAACTGTCTTTGTTTAAAGTGCCCAGTAAACATTGTAGCTTCATGATTAAGAGCATATGGCTTGGAAAGTCAGTGGTCTTATTTCCAGTCCTTTTTATGTCCTTTACTTGGCTGCTGAGGTTTGGGTAAAGTTACTGTTTTTGAAATGAAAGTAAACATCAGTTTCAATTTTTGTAAAATGAGAATAATAACAGCTACCTTGTAAAGTTGTGTAAATATGAAATGAAATACCATATTTAAAATGCTTTACACTGTGCTTGGCATAGTTCTGAGCAGTTAGTACGTGGCAGTTGTATTATTAGAGGAAGCCTGTCTTGTTTTTTTTTAAATAAGCTGATAGAGTGAGGATTCTTTTAATCAAGACTGTTTGGGATTGAATTGCCACTCCTGCTTACCAGAGTGTAGGCAGTTTTTCTTAAACTTTCCAAGAAGACTGGTGTCCTCATCTAAAATACGAAATGCTTACAGTAATTGCCTCATGGGGTTGTTTGGGGTGACTAAATGTAGTAGGATTTACTACATAGTAAGTTCTCAATACATTGTAGCTATTATTATTAGTTCGGTAGAAAGAATGTGCAGATTCTTATGAGTTTAAGTAGGCTTTCGGGGAGATAGATTGACTCTGGTCTTTTAAAAGTTAATTTTGAAGTTGCAGTTTTGTGATTAAGCCTTAAATCTGTTATTCTTTCCTTCTGAAATCCTTAAAAACAGAATGTTTAGTAGAAGGTGATAACCAGATTTCTTTATTCCAAGAACTCTTTGCTCTCATGTCTAACCTTTATTTTCCTGGTACTTACTGATGCAGAAGCTTCTCTTAGTAAATATAATACATCTCCTCTCTCCTAATTTGCTCCCGTCTTTCCTTGTAAGGGAAAAGTAAATTTTACTTCCAAGCCTAGAGGGTTATTTATGGATTAGGTGAACTACTGAAGATACTTATTTTCTGGATAAGCATCCATCTGTATAGCCTTTTATGTATGGCAAAAATTGTTTTCATTTCTTGATCAGAATACTGTTCTGATGTGGTGTAGTCAGCCACCTGAAGCTGATCTAGCATGGGCAGCCTAGGCAGGTAGGGCGAATGACTGTAGGAGCCCTGCTAAACCCGAGTCTCTACTCCAGAGAGGAGTTAAAAAAAGCTGAACAAGCCTGAACACGGAGGAGCCACTATTGCTGTCAAAGTTAAGTGAAGCAGCTTGGCTTATGTCTATTTCAGAATAAAAAAAAAAAATTCAACTTAGGCATGCACGGTGGGTCATGCCCGTAATCCTAGCACTTTGGGCGTTTGAGGCTGGCAGATTACTTGAGGTCAGGAGTTTGAGACCAGCCTGGCCAACATGGTGAAACCTTGTCTCTACTGAAAATATAAAAATTAGCCAGGCATGGTGGTATGCCTGTTTGGGAGGCTGATGCAGGAGAATCTCTTGAACCCGGGAAGTGGAAATTGCAGTAAGCTGAGATCGCACCACTGCACTCCAGCCTAGGTGATAGAATGAGACTGCATCTCAAAAATTCAACTTTTCACATTTTCAGTTTTATCTTGATAAGGATACCTCATCAAAGAACCCTTTTCTTTTCTTTTCTTTTCTTTTTCTTGAAGCAGAATCTTGCTGTGCATCCCAGGCTGGAGTGCAGTGGTGCAATCTTGGCTCAGTGCAACCTCCGCCTCCTAGGTTCAAACGATTCTTGTGCCTCAGCCTCCTGAGTAGCTAGGACTACAGGCATGCGCCACCATGCTCGGCTAATTTTTTGTATTTTAGTAGAGATGGGGTTTTGTAATGTTACCTAGGGTGGTCTCAAACTCCCGAGCTCAGGTGATCGCCTGCCTTGGCTTCTCAAAGTGCTAGGATTACAGGTGGGAGCCACCACGCCCAGCCCCATTTCTGTTTTTTTTAATCTGAATATTCTTTGCTAAAGTGTTGTTGTTTTTTTTAAAGGCAAGCCAGAGAGCTTTTGGCATTTAGTAAGTCACCTATTCGTGCTTTGCTCTAACTTGGAGAAATATTTTTCTAAACTAGTTCTTCTAGCAAAATTAAAGAAATTTTTATTATGAAAGCAATAAAGATTTTCTGTAAACATTAAAAATTACATAGTAGTATTCAGTGGACAGTAGAAGTCTTACTTCCTGGTAACTTGATTCAACAGTTTTTGGGTGTATTCTTCCACACCTTTTTCTTTGCACATATGAATCAAACATGAGTATTTATTTTGTTATGTTTGACTGTATTGAAATGGGCTTATGCTATGCATATTGTTCGTAATTTTCTTTTCTTTTCTTTTCTTTGAGACGGACTGTCGCTCTGTCACCAGACTAGAGTGTGGTGGCACGATCTTGGCTAACTGCAACCTCTGCCTCCCGGGTTCAAGCAGTTCTCCTGCCTCAGCCTCCTGAGTAGCTGGAACTACAGGTGCGCGCCACCACGCCCAGCTAATTTTTGTATTTTTAGTAGACAGGGTTTCACCATGTTGGCCAGGCTGGTCTTGATCTCTTGAGCTCGTGATTTGCCTGCCTCGGCCTCCCAAAGTGCTGGGATTACAGACGTGAGCCACCATGCCTGGCCCATAATTTTCTTTTACATTCTTCTATATCAGTACATATTACACAAGTCTGTGTCATTCTTCTTGATGGCTTTAGTAAGATTTTATTTGCATTCAACATGTTATTTTTTCTACAACCAAATAATTTATATAGGGCACCGGTATGTTTCTTTAAGTTTTGCAGGTATGTAGCAGTGCTTAGTATTCAGTAGGTACTGTTTTTGTTTGTTTGTTTGTTTGTTTTGTTTTTTGTTTTTGAGACAGGGTCTTGCTCTGTTGCCCAGGCTGGAGTGCAGTGGCACAGTCTTGGCTCACTGCAACCTCTGCCTCCCGGGTTCAAGAGATTCTCATGTTTCTGCCTCCCAAGTAGCTGGGACTACAGTCCCGTGCCATCACACCCAGCTAATTTTTGTATTTTTATTAGAGACAGGGTTTTGCCACGTTGGCCAGGCTGGTCTCAAACTCCTGACCTCAAGTGATCTGCCTGCCTCGACCTCCCAAAGTACAGGTGTGAGCCACTGTGCCTGGCCTTCAGTAAGTATTGTTAACTTATTTGGATGCCTAGTACTAGTAGGTGGCAAATAGTCCCAGTACCTATTATATATACAAAGCTTCTTATAGTCCTATGAATTATTATTATTATTATTATTATTATTATTATTATTATTATTATTGTTTTGAGACAGGGTCTTGCTCTGTCACCCAGGCTGGAGTGCACAGTACAATCACGGCTCACTGTAGCCTTGACCTTCTGGGCTCAAGCGATCCTCCCACCTCAGCCTCTCGAGTAGTTGGGACTACAGGTGTGGGTCACCATAGGTTGATTTTTTATATTTTCTAGAGATGGGGTCTCACTATGTTGCCTAGGCTGGTCTTGAACTCTTGCCCTGTGAATTATTGCAGCCACCAACTGTTAAATATCATTGCATGACATTGTTACTAAAAGGTAATCTATGAGGATTAGTGAGGGAGCATCCCTGTGCTATATGGCTGGTTCTAAAAAAGCTTATGCTGTTCTTTGGGATCCCTGTTAGCATTGATTAGACAGGTTAATTTTGGGGGCCGGGTGCGGTGGCTTATACCTGTAATCCCAGCAGTTTGGTAGGCTGATATGGGTGGATTACTTGAACCCAGGAGTTTGAGACCAGCATGGACAATGTGGCAAAACCCTGCTTCTACAAAAAAGTTTTAAAATAGCCAGGAGTGGTGGCCTGTGACTGTATTTCCAGCTACTCAGGAAGTTGAGGCTGGGAGGATTGCTTGAACCCAGGATGTCAAGTCTGCAGTGGAGCTGTGATTGCAGCCACTGTACTCCAGCCTAGGTGACAGAGCAAGACCCCGTTTTAAAAACAAAATCAAAAACACGTTAATTTTGGAATGGATCTCTATAGGAAGTGTCCCCAGCATATGCTCAAAGTCAGAATATATAGTTTATAAGGAATTCTTTAACCGTACAGTTATATGGCACATTACGTTTTTAAAGTTCCATAATCATTAGTTATATCTAATAACATCCCTTTGAGGCAGGTCAGCAACATTTTTCCCTTTTTATGGTCGAAGAAGCAGGTGTAAAGATGTTGAGTGATTTGCCCACAGGCACACATTAAACTGATCACAGAGCCTGTTCTTTTGTTAGTAAACTGAACCATGCTGCCTCTCTACTAGTTATTATAAATAAATAATAAAGTTGTTGCCATTTAGTGACTTTTTGATGGCTTTATTGAATAGTAAGTGTAGTTTACAAACCTTTTGCCTACTTACTTTGTTGAAAAAGTTTTAAATTTAGAATTTACTTGTATCATGGTATGAAACATTTTTATGTAAATTTCCCTGTTTCTTTTTTTTTATTTTTTTTTATTGATCATTCTTGGGTGTTTCTCACAGAGGGGGATTTGGCAGGGTCATAGGACAATAGTGGAGGGAAGGTCAGCAGATAAACAAGTGAACAAAGGTCTCTGGTTTTCCTAGGCAGAGGACCCTGTGGCCTTCCGCAGTGTTTGTGTCCCTGGGTACTTGAGATTAGGGAGTGGTGATGACTCTTAAGGAGCATGCTGCCTTCAAGCATCTGTTTAACAAAGCACATCTTGCACCTCCCTTAATCCATTTAACCCTGAGTGGACACAGCACATGTTTCAGAGAGCACAGGGTTGGGGGTAAGTAAGGTCACAGATCAACAGGATCCCAAGGCCGAAGAATTTTTCTTAGTACAGAACAAAAGGAAAAGTCTCCCATGTCTACTTCTTTCTACACAGACACGGCAACCATCTGATTTCTCAATCTTTTCCCCACCTTTCCCCCCTTTCTATTCCACAAAACCGCCATTGTCATCATGGCCCGTTCTCAATGAGCTGTTGGGTACACCTCCCAGACGGGGTGGCGGCCGGGCAGAGGGGCTCCTCACTTCCCAGTAGGGGTGGCCGGGCAGAGGCGCCCCTCACCTCCCGGACGGGGCGGCTGACCGGGCGGGGGGCTGACCCCCCCACCTCCCTCCCGGACGGGGCGGCTGGCCGGGCAGAGGGGCTCCTCACTTTCCAGTAGGGGCGGCCGGGCAGAGGCGCCCCTTACCTCCCGGATGGGGCGGCTGGCCGGGCGGGGGGCTGACCCCCCCACCTCCCTCCCGGACGGGTGGCTGCCGGGCAGAGACGCTCCTCACTTCCCAGACGGGGTGGTTGCCGGGCGGAGGGGCTCCTCACTTCTCAGATGGGGCGGCTGCCGGGCGGAGGGGCTCCTCACTTCTCAGATGGGGCGGCTGCCGGGCGGAGGGGCTCCTCACTTCTCAGATGGGGCGGTTGCCAGGTGGAGGGTCTCCCCACTTCTCAGACGGGGCGGCCGGGCAGAGACGCTCCTCACCTCCCAGACGGGGTCACGGCCGGGCAGAGGCGCTCCTCACATCCCAGACGGGGCGGCGGGGCAGAGGTGCTCCCCACATCTCAGACAATGGGCGGCCGGGCAGAGACGCTCCTCACTTCCTAGATGGGATGGCGGCCGGGAAGAGGCGCTCCTCACTTCCTAGATGGGATGGCGGCCGGGCAGAGACGCTCGTCACTTTCCAGACTGGGCAGCCAGGCAGAGGGGCTCCTCACGTCCCAGACGATGGGCGGCCAGGCAGAGACGCTCCTCACTTCCCAGATGGGGTGGCAGCCGGGCAGAGGCTGCACTCTCGGCACTTTGGGAGGCCAAGGCAGGTGGCTGGGAGGTGGAGGTTGTAGCGAGCCGAGATCACGCCACTGCACTCCAGCCTGGGCACCATTGAGCACTGAGTGAACCAGACTCCGTCTGCAATCCCGGCACCTCGGGAGGCTGAGGCTGGCGGATCACTCGCGGTTAGGAGCTGGAGACCAGCCCGGCCAACACAGCGAAGCCCCGTCTCCACCAAAAAAATACAAAAACCAGTCAGGCGTGGCAGCGCGCACCTGCAATCGCGGGCACTCGGCAGGCTGAGGCAGGAGAATCAGGCAGGGAGGTTGCAGTGAGCTGAGATGGCAGCAGTACAGTCCAGCTTCGGCTCGGCATCAGAGGGAGACCGTGGAAAGAGAGGGAGAGGGAGACCGTGGGGAGAGGGATAGGGAGAGGGAGGGGGAGGGGGAGGGGGAGCCCCTGTTTCTTAAAAATTAGAAAAAATCAGGCTGGGAGCGGTGGCTCATGCCTGTAATCCCAGCACTTTGGGAGGCCAAGGTGGGCGAATCACTTGAAGTCAGGAGGAGTTCATGACCAGCCTGGCCAACACAGCGAAACCCTGTCTCTACTAAAAATACAATACAAAAATTAGCTGTGCATGGTAGCATGTGCTTCTGGTCCCAGCTACTCAGGCGCTGAGACAGGAGAAGTGCCTGAACCTGGGAGGCGGAGGTTGCAGTGAGCTGAGATCAGGTCACTGCACTCTAGCCTGGGCGACAGAGCAAGATGCAAGACTCTGTCCCCCTCCAAAAAAAAAAAAAAAAAAAAAATTAGAAGAAATCATATGAAAAAACATAAAAATGAACGACAGTGGACTTAGTTCTTCTGGGAGAACTTTGCTAGCTTGAAAATTAGTGTCAAGCTGGACAGGTGGCTTGTGCCTGTAATTCCAGCTACTTGGGAGGCTGAGACAGGAGGAGCTTGAGCCCAGGAGCTCAAGGCTGCAGTGAGCCTTGATTGCACCACTAGATTCCAGCCTGGGCGACAGAGCGAGACTCTATCTCTAAAAGAAAGGAAAATTAGTATTATAAATTAGAAAATTAGAGGCTTTGTACAAAGCTTTGAAGAGTTAATATTTTAAAGTAGGAGAAAAATGAATCCTCTGGTTATATTGCCACAAGTAATTTTGCGTTGAAACACTGTGGCCCATATAGCCTGAAGAGACTTTGAAAGGTCATTTGAGCCCTTGAGTTCAGAACCTATCTCTTCTGCCAAGTGATGACACAGAATATGATCTAGCTCAGAAAAGTTTTACAATCTGGGTGGTTTGTCTCTCTTTTTCTCTCTCTCTTTTTCTTTGGCTGAAGAATCTTTAGAACAGTCAACCTTCTCTTAAATTGCAAGTTTCCTTTGGCCATTTGAAACATTTTCTTTTTTTCTTTTCTTTTTCCTTTTTCTTTTTTTGTAAAGAGACAGGGCCTAGCTCTGTCACTTAGACTGGAATTTAGCGGTGTGATCATAATTCACTGTAGCCGTGAACTCCTGGATTCAAGGGATCTTCCCATCTCAGTCTCTTGAGTAGCTGGGAATACAGGCTTGCGCCACCACATTCAGCTAAGTTTTTTATTTTTTTGTAGTGCTGTGGCCTCACTGTGTTTCCCAGGTTGGTCTTGAACTCCTGGCCTCAAGTGACCTTCCCTTGTTGGCCTCCCAAAGCACTGGGATTACAGACATCAGCCACTGCACCCAGCCAGACATTTTCTATTTACTTGTATGGACTTAATTCTGTCTATCCCATTCCCCCTTCCCCCATTATAATTTTTTTTCTCTGTAATTTGTAGGTACAAGTTCTTTCTCTCACTGAAAAGCTTTCCAATTGTAGTTTTTCTGCATTGATGGAGGTAGTGAAGGGGAGGTTCAGGTAATTTACAACTATTGTAAACAGTTTTTATTTGGCATGGTACAGTGTCTAATGCCTGTAATCCCAGCACTTTGGGAGGCTGAGGCGGGGAAAATTGCAAGTTTACTTTGAGTTTGAGACTAGCCCGGCCAACATCGCGAAACCCTGTCTCTACCAAAAATACAAAAAAATTAGCCGGGTGTGGTGGTGCACACCTGAAATCCCAGCTGTTCTGGAAGCTGAGGCGTGAGAATCGCTTGAATCCGGGAGGTGAAAGTTGTAGTGAGCTGAGGTCACACCACTGCACTCCAGCCTGGGCGACAGAGGGAGAGACTCTGTCTTAAAAAAAGAGATTTTATTTAAGGGATCATACAGAGCCCTAAAATTATATATTCACATTTGGAATGTTAAGCAGATGCTTTGACATGATATATTATAAATCTGTAATAATAAATAGTAGTTAATCCTCATATACTTTAGTAATTAGCACAGTCCAATTTTTTTTTTTTTTGAGATGGAGTCTCACTCTGTTGCCCAGGCTGGAGTGCAGTGGTATGATCTCGGCTCACTGCAGCCTCTGCCTTCCATGTTCAAGTGATTCTCCTGGCTCAGCCTCCCGAGTAACTGGGACTACAGGTGTGTGCCACCACGCCTGGCTAATTTTTTGTATTTTTAGTAGAGACGGGGTTTCACTGTCTTAGCCAGGATGGTCTCGATCTTCTGACCTTGTGATCTGCCTGTCTCAGCCTCCCAAAGTGAGCCACCGTGCCCAGCCAGCACAATCTTATTTTTTAGTAGGCATGTAATTTCTAAATTTGTCTTTATTGCTAAAGTAACATCCCATTTATCTCAAACTAACTGTCATCAGTCTTGTCTTGTTCTGAAATAGCATTAAAATATTTATCACACCAGCCTCTTTCCTGGTCATCATGTTCTTTATGCTGTAATTATTATTGTTTTTGTTATTATCATATGATAATTTTGCCACTGCTTATTCAGTGCTTAATATATGTCAGTCTTTTCTTACATTATATGTAGTTTTTTCTTATTTGAAGACAGAGTTTCTTGCTCTGTTGCCTGGGCAGGAATATAGTAGCGTGATCATGGCTGACTGTAACCTTGACCTCTTGGGCCCAGGTGATCCTCCCACCTTAGCCTCCTGAGTAGCTGGGAGTACAGGTGTCCACCACCATGCCTGGCGAATTTTTAACTTTTTTCATAGAGACAGGGTCTCACTATGTTGCCTAGGCTGATCTTGAACTCCCCGGTTCAAGTGATCCCCCTGCCTCTGCCTCCTAAAGTGCTGGGATTATAGGCGTGAGTCCCCGTGCCTGGCCCATTTAAAATTTTAATTCTCAAAATACCCTGAGAGGTACATAGATATATTCTTATTTTACAGATGAAAAACTCAAGGCCGAGAGAGATTATATAATTTACCTAACTAAGGTCATGCCACTAGTAAGTGGCATAGTGAGGATTTAAACCTAAACTACTTCAAACCAGAGCTCCTACTAATATTAATGCTGTTTCTGCCTCTTTAATATATATCTTTACTTGGATATCTAGTTTTCTTAGTACACAGAACATTTAGAAGTGCCAAATACTGTGTGAGTTGTTAGTTGTAAGTGTATGTGTGTTTTTATGTGTGTATCGAGAGGGAGGAGTTTTGAACAAATCCGGAAGTCAGAGGTCTGACGTGGGTCTCACTGGGCATTTCTTCTTCAGGCTCTAGGGGAGAATTGGTTTCCTTGCCTCTTTTCCAGCTTCTAGAGGCTGTATTTCCTCCTTTGCCTCTGGTCTCTCCTATTTTCAAAGCCAGCAGCCTGGTGTCTTCAAATCTGTCTCTGACACTATCTCTCCTGCCTCCCTCTTTCACTTATAAGTATCCTTGTGTTTATATTAAATAGGGCTCACCCAGATAATACAAGCTAATCTCCCCCTTTCAAGGTCAACTAATTAGCAACTCTGATTCCATGTCAGCTTTAAATTTCCCCTTGATAGATAACATTTTCACATGTTTTGGAGATTCGGATGTGGTCATTTTGTGGGGAGGGGGAGTGCATTCTGCCTACCAGAGTTTCCTTAGTGTGGCAAAATGATTTAGCTTCTTAGGCCTCGCTATAAAATGAGATTAGTATTTACTATTTACCACAAAGGAATTTTATGAAGATGGAAATTACGTACTAATACAGACAGGCCATGCATAGAATACACTTAATTAGCAGATGCTTTCTGCTTGATCTTATCTGCTAGGTATATGCTTGTGGTGATGGGTAGTCTCCAAGGTAACCACTGGGTTTGATAAACTCCAATTTGAGTGCCTGACTCTTCTAAAGGCAGATGTTTGTTTTAGAATTCAGCCTTTCCAGACCTTTGCATGATGAGGATGGTGATGATTTATAGCACAATGGTGGAAAAACAGATGAGTGCCCCTTAACTCTTAATTTGTTTTATGATTTGAATCTGTCTTAATCTCTAAGATACAGTTCACTTTTTAAGTAGGCAGCTTTTCTGTTTAACATGATTTTCTAAAGGATTGCTATAGAAGATAATGAAAAGGGACCTTGAGTAATTGCACTTTTAAATCACACAAGATTGTTTTGTATGTGCTCAGATGGTATTTTTTGAAGTTAATGTTGTCATTTCTTTTCTTTTTTTTTATTTTCGGGACAGGGTCTTCCTCTGTTGCCCAGGCTGGAGTGCTGTGGTGTGATCTTGGCTCACTGCAGCCTCCACCTCCTGGGCTCAAGTGATCCACCCACCTCAGCCTCCCAAGTAGCTGAGACTACAGGTGTATGCCACCACGCCTGGCAAGTTTTTTGTAGAGGCAGGGTTTCACCATGTTGCCACGCTGGTCTCAAACTCCTGGACTCAAGATATCTGTCCACCGCAGCCTTCCAAAGTGCTGTGATAATAGGCGTGAGCCACCGTGCCTGGCCTAGGCAATTTACTTCTTTGAGTTTTATTTTCAGTATATGAGAAATGTGGCTAATAACATTTACTTCATTGCTTGCTTTGTTATTAAATATGATGATGCATGTAAAATACTCATGTTTGGTTTATATGTGCCAAAAAAAAATACCTGTAATATATTGTAGAGTTAGGGATGAACCACTTTACTAAATGTCTCCAAATAACCAATTTCTAATAATTTAGAATATGTAGTATAGCTAGTGTGCATTGCATTATGATAAAAGAGTGCTTATTACCTGTGCACCTAATTTTTGGAAGTCAGATTCATATAGCTTTGGTTAATCTTTGTTCTTTTTACATTTTATTGTATTTTAGACAGGGTCTCGCTGTGTTCTGCAGGCTGCAGTGCAATGGCATGATCATAGCTCACTGCAGCCTTGAACCCCTGGGCTCAAGTGATCCTCCCACTTTAGTGTCCCAAGTATTAAATAGCTGGCATTACAGACATGTGCCACCATGCCTGGCTGTTTCTCGTTTTTTTTAGAGATGGGATCTCACTATGTTGCCAAGGCTGGTCTCGAACTTCTGGCCTCAAATGATCTTCTTGCCTTGGCCCCTCAAAGTGCTGGATTACAGGAGTGAGCTACTGTGTCCAGCCTAATCTTCGTTCTTGGAGTCAAGTTGTGTAGGCTTTGTTTTTTGCTTTGCTTTTTTTTTTTTCCCCCACCTCTAGTTTTTAATTTAAAAAAGGACTGGCTTTTAGAACCACTGGAAAATATTTGTTTTGGGGGCAGTGTCTTTAGATAACATAAAATTCAGGAATACAAATTTTGGGTGGAAGATAGTACAGCGTCATTGGTTAAGAATATAAACTCTCTGGCCGGGTGTGGTGGCTCAGGCCTGTAATCCTAGCACTCTGGGAGGCCGAGGCAGGCGGATCACAAGGTCAGGAGATTGAGACCATCGTGGCTAACACGGTGAAACCCTGTCTCTACTAAAAATACAAAAAATTAGCCGGGTGTGGTGGCGGGCGCCTGTAGTCCCAGCTAGTCGAGAGGCTGAGGCAGGAGAATGGCGTGAACCCGGGAGGCGGAGCTTGCATTGAGCCGATCGCGCCACTGCACTCCAGCCTAGGCGACAGAGCGAGACTCCGTCTCAAAAAAAAGAAAAAAAGAAGAATATAAACTCTCAAACTGAATTCTAATCCTGGCACTATTACTTACTGCCTTGTGATGTTAGGCAAGTAATGTAACCTTCTGTGATGCTTAAATTTTAATCTTGTCTGAAATGAGGACAATGATAAAATGTACCTCCTACTTTGGAAGGATTGAATGAGGTAATCCATGTAAAGCATTTAGCATGGCCTCTACTAAGTGACCCACAGCAGTTATTAGTAATGACAAATAAGAGAAAGGAGAAGCAGTGGGCAGGTGTTCAAGTGCTAACGTGTATTGTTTAGAGCAGTGTTATCAATAGGAGTATAATGCAAGCCATGTGTAATTTTAACTTTTATAATAGCTGTATTAAGTAAATAAAAAGAAACAGGTGTTGAAATTCATTATGATAATGTTTAATTTAACCCAGCATATCCAAAACATTGTTATTTCAACATGTAATGATATCAAAATTATTGAGATATTTTACATTTTTTAATACTATATCTTTGAAATCTGGTGTATATTTATACCTATGGCATGTCTCAATTTGGATACTAAATTCTTTCTGTCTTTCTGTCCCCACTCCTTTCCCTCCCCTCCCCTCCCCTCCTTTCCCCTCCTTCTCTTCCACTTCCCTTTCCCTTTTTCCTTCCTTCCTTCCTTCCTCCCCTCCCTCCCTTTACACTTCCCCCTCCCCATCTCTTTCCCCTTCCCCTTTCCCTTCCCCTTCCCTTCCTTTTCCTTGTTTCTTTGTTTTTTTTTGCTGTTTTTTTTTTTTTTTTTTTTTTTTCCGTTTTTTGAGACAGAGTCAGCCAGGCACAGTGGCTTATGCTTGTAATACCAGCACTTTGGGAAGCCGAGGTGGGTGGATCACTTGAGCCTAGGAGTTTGAGACCAGGTTGGGCAACATGGCGAAACCCCGTTTCCACTAAAAATATAAAAGAGTTAGTTGGCTGGGCGCGGTGGCCCATGCCTGTAATCCTAGCACTTTGGGAGGCCGAGGTGGGCGGATCACCTGAGGTCAGGAGTTTTGAAACCCCCTCTCTACTAAAAACACAAAAATTAGCTGGGTGTGGTAGCAGGCACCTGTAATCCCAGTTACTTGGGAGGCTGAGGCAGGAGAATCACTTGAACTTGGGAGGCAGAGGTTGCAGTGAGCTGAGATCAGGCCACTGCACTCCAGCCTGGGTGATAAGAGCGAGACTGCATCTCACAAAAAAAAAAGAATTAGTTAGGCAAGGTGGTGGGCACCTGTGGTCCCAGCTACTCCGGTAGCTGAGGTGGGAGGATTGCTTGAGCCTGGGAGGTGGAGGGAGGTTGCAGTGAGCTGAGATTGCACCACTGCACCCTAGCCTGGGCCAGGGCAAGGCCACCCTGTCTCAAAAGGAGAAAAAAAAAAAAAAAAAAAAGAAATAGGGTCTCACTCTCACCGGCTGGAGTACAGTGGTGTGATCACAGCTCACTGCAACCTTGACTTTCTAGGCTCTAGCGATCCTCCCACCTCAGTCTCCCAAGTAATTAGGACTACAAGTGTGTGCCAGCACGCTTGGCTAATTTTTTGTATTTTTTGTAAAGACAAGGTTTCACCATGTTGCCCAGGCTGGTCTCAAACTCCTGGGCTCAAGCGATTCTCCCGCCTTGGCCTCCCAAAGTGTTCAGATAACAGGCGTGAGCCACCACACTGGGCACTAAATTTTCAGCAGAGATGCTTGTTCTGTATTTAGATTTAATAAAATTTACAGTAGAAAAAGTAGATTCGCCTGGGTGTGGTGGCTCACGCCTATAATCCCAACACTTTGGGAGGCTGAGGCAGGAAGATTGTTTGAGCCCAGGAATTCAAAACCAGCCTGGGAAACATAGTGAGACCCTGTCTGTATACTAAAAAAAAAAAAAAAAAAAAAAAAAGAATACTTAAAAAAATGTATTGTTGGCTGGGCGTAGTGGCTCACGCCTATAATCCCAGCACTCTGGGAGGCCGAGGCAGGCAGATCATGAGGTCAAGAGATTGAGACCATCCTGGCCAATATAGTGAAACCCCGCCTCTACTAAAAATATACACACACAAAATTAGCTGGACGTGGTGGCATGCACCTGTAGTCCCAGCTACTCGGGAGGCTGAGGCAGGAGAATCGCTTGAACCTGGGAGGTGGAGGTTGCAGTGAGCTGAGATCGTGCCACTGCACTTCAGCCTGGCTACAGAGCGAGACTCTGTCTCACAAAAAATAAAAAAAAAAGTATTCTTGTAGTTCCTTTTTTCTCCTTGCAAGGCATCTTTAATGTAGAATAAGCTAAATATAGTAATAATAATAATAATTAAAAATGATGAAGTTTATTGAGTACTGCTTTGTATGTGTTATGTTGTCTTCTAAGCACAGATATCTCATTTAATCTTCATGATAGCACTATGAGAATACTTTAATTTTCCCTGTTTACAGATAGGGAAAATGGGGACCAGAGAAAGTTATAGAGCATAGAGTTGAACTCAATTTTGACCTCCAGAGTCTGTTTTTCTTTTTTTTTTTTTTATGAGACGGAGTCTCATTCTGTCGCCCAGGCTGGAGTGCAGTGGCATGATCTCGGCTCACTACAACCTCCACCTCCTGGGTTCAAGTGATTCTTGTGCCTCAGCCTCCCAAGTAGCTGGGATTGCAGGCACCCGCCACCCCACCTGGCTAAATTTTGTATTTTTTGGTAGAGATGGGGTTTTGCCATGTTGGCCAGGGTGTTCTCGGACTCCTGACCTCAAGCGGTTTGCCCGCCTCAGCCTCCCAAAGTGCTGGGATTACAGGTATGAGCCACTGTGCCTGGCCCAGAGCCTGTTTTTCTGACAGTCACACCGCTTATTGGTTGCTGGATAGAATGAAAAAGCAAATGGAAGTACCTCTCCCCACCAGTAGTTTTTCTGGGTTTCTTTTATGGGGGAGCGAGGGTAGAGTAACATGTGGGTAGAGGGACAGTGTTTCAGGAACCCATTTGGATATTTAAGAACAGGACTAAATACTTAAATTACTTCTGTGACAATAAAAAGATACCCAGGAAGCTACACTCTTTTTTAGTTCTATATTTTTTGCATCATACGTTTAAAAATTGGTTGCTCCTAAATGAAGCTTTAGAATCCTTTGCAAGATAGTACTACTGCTTCAAGCAGCTAACCACCAATGAACAAGAATTATGAGTTCAAACTCTGGCATAGACCAACCCCCTAACTTGGATCTCCTAACTCATAATCCAGAGTTCTTTTCCAGAGAACTGCTCCGCTTTTAAAAACCAGTGCCAGGATTCAGATCTCAAATGATACCATTAAACACTGATAGGCAAGAAGCATTTGTTTCTATGAGTAAATAACTCTCTGATGTATTAGAGGCTGGTGTTAATTTTTGACTAGGCTGAACTCTGAGCGTTTATTATTTCTTCAGGTATTAAACCTTCAGATAATTTCAAAAACACAGTTTAGGCCAGGCACAGTGGCTCACGCCTTTAATCTGAGTACTATGGGAGGCAGAGGTGGGTGGATAACAAGGTCAGGAGTTCAAGAAACCCCGTCTCTACTAAAAATACAAAAAATAGCTGGGCGTGGTGGTGGGCTCCTGTAATCCCAGCTACTCGGGCGGCTGAGGCAGGAGAATCGTTTGAACCCTGGAGGCGGAGGTTGCAGTGAGCCAAGATCACGCCATTGCACTCCAGCCTGGGTGACAGGGCAAGACTCTGTCTCAATAAAAAACAAAACCAAACCACAGTTTATCCCTTAGGAAAACACCAAAAAGCTTCTTATGTACATGAACTTGTATTAGGGTCACACTTTAAGGTGGCTCTAGAAAGTATAATGAGAGACTTACAGTAAGACTGCTTTTTTTTTGACGTGGCATCTCACTTTGTTGTCTAGGCTGGCTTGGAACTCCTGGGTTCAAGCCATCCTCTTGCCTCTGCCTCCCGAGTAGCTTTACAGGAGGATTACAGGTGTATGCCACTGTGCTGGGCTGAGACTGCAGTTTTTAATGAATGAAATGCCACTGTGCTGGGCTGAGACTGCAGTTTTTAATGAATGAAATGCCTCTGTGCATGGATTGAAGCCAGCTTTTATGGCAAACATTAACAGTATGGTTTGGTTCCCCATCTCTGTGCCCCTTGAGTTATAACTTAAATTGTTCTGATTGTAGTATTAACTGTGATTAGGTGTTGATGAAAGAGATATGGAGTTCTAATTAAGTAAAATGAAGATCTCAAATAAAATTGAAGTAGAATGAAACGCTATATGTAAATACAATTCTGCTAAACAAATATTTAACTGTGGATAGGCACAGTGACTTTATAATGCAGATAGTCATTTTCATATATATGGATATATATAAATATACATTATATTCATATATATGGATATATATAAATATACATTGTATTCATATATATGGATATATATAAATATACGTTATATTCATATATATGGATATATATAAATATACGTTATATTCATATATATGGATATATATAATGTAATACGGTAATTGATTTTTAGACTAAATATATAAGTTGAAACATAACATTTTCTAATTTTTGGAAAATTAGTGGTGTTAATTCTGGAGACTAGTAAAAATAAATGATTAGAGACGAATACACTTCATGGTAACAAACATGCTGGTGATACAGCTTTAAAACTTTATGGAAATTTACAACATACAAAAATAAAGTTCACTGATGTTTTACATATTCATGGCCTAGCATCACCAGTTGCCAATATTTTGCCATCTTGGTATTATCTGTTTCACTCTGCTGCCCCTCTTCTCTCCTTTCTCCCTCACCATGTAGCATTTTAAAGCAAATTCCAGATATCATTTCACCCATATGTATTTCGGTATGTATCTCTGACACACTTGAACTTTCCTTTCATAGTACAACTGTCATACCATTGTCACAATGAATAACATTAACATTAATTCCTTAATGGCATCTGGTAGCAAGAACATGTTCAGATTAGCCTGTCTCTAAAATGTCTTTGCAATTTGTTCGTTTACATTAGGACCCAAATAAAGTCTTCATATTGCAGTTGGAAGATACGGTTCTAAATGGTCTCTTAAATCTCCACCCTTTTCATGCCCTTTATTTGATGAAGAAACTGTTATTTAACCTGTAGAATTTCCCACATTCTGTTTGGCTGATTACATCTTTGTGGTTTGGTTTAACCCCTGTAATTTCCTGTAAACTGAACATTCGTTCTAGAGGGTATTTTTTTTTGGTGAGCATTGTTTATAAGAGGTGCTGTATTCTTTCTATTAGTTACCATCATGAGGTTGGTTCACTTTCAGTATTGCTGGGATTGGTCAGTGGTTTTAGATTATGTTGGCTTGATCTATCCTTTATAAAGTTCTTATCAACTTTCACACAAAGGTTTTCGCAGCATCTGAGGATTGTTGACTAGATCCATTATATAAGGATTGCAAAACGGTGATTTTGGAATTATATCACTCCTACATTTATTAGTTGAAATTCTTTTGTAAAGAAAACTTTTATTTCATGTATTTACTGTCTTTAAAATCTAGAAGTGGAGGCTATAAAAATTTAATTCCTCTCCCACCTCGTTTTGCCAGTTTTTATAATAATGAGTTGGTGTCCTAGGAACCCACTAAAACGACCAGTAAATTTTTCTTCTTTCTTTTATTATTTTTAGTGTTAGGGATTTTTATGTATGTGATGTGTTTTAATCCATTGTAGTTGCTGTTTTTCATGTTTCAATTGTCTCATCTTTGGCCAGTTGGAACCCCTTCAGATGGGTTCCTGTGTTCTTTTGAATATTGTCCCATCGGTTTTCAATAACTTACTCTCTTTCTGGCACAAGGGATATCAGGTTCACTTTGTACATTTCCTGCTCCGCATCTGGAATCAGCTATTTCTTTAAGGAACCCTGGTTGCTGAGACATTAATGACATCAAATATATATATAAAAAGAAAAGAACAAGTAGCCCTGGTTTTCTCAAGTGGGAAATGGTTTTTAGAGATCACAATCAGGGTGTTAAGGGTGCTCATTGCTGCTGGGTTGGTCATGACTTCTATGGTTTTTTAGTATTTAGATACAGGAAGTACTCTCTCCCTTCCTTCCCTCCCTCCTTCCTCCCTTCCTTCCTTCCTTCCTTCCTTCCTTCCTTCCTTCCTTCCTTCCTC
Organism: Homo sapiens; assembly: GCF_000001405.40. NCBI lineage: Eukaryota > Metazoa > Chordata > Mammalia > Primates > Hominidae > Homo > Homo sapiens. The sequence continues at coordinate 235,296,790 of NC_000001.11, read as the reverse complement.
CTTTTTTTTTTTTTTAATTAGAGTAAATTATGGCTGGGTGAGGTGGCTCACTCCTGTAACCTAAGCACTCTGGGAGGCTGAGGTGGGCGGATCACTTGAGCCCAGGAGTTCGAGACTAGCCTGGGCAACATGGCAAAACCCTGTCTCTACAAAAAGCTCAAAAAAATTAGCCAGGCATGGTGGTGTGTGCCTATAGTCCCAACTACTTGGGAAGATCACCCGAGCCTGGAGGTCAAGGCTGCAGTGAGTTGAGATTGTGCCACTGCACCCTAGCCTGGGTGATAGAGTGAGACCCTGTCTCAAAAAAAAAGAGAAGAATAAATTTTCAATTCATACTGATATTTCCAGTTTTCATGAAAAATTACAGAGGTTTTGTTTAACTTATTTTATGATTTATTTATTTATTTTATGGTGAAAAATATGTCTATTTAGTGTTAGCCAGCTGGGCTCACTTTAGATGATCCCAATTTTGTTGGCAACGTCATCATAGTCAGGAACCGGTAGAACATGGGCCTTCTTTCCATCAGGCCTGATCAGGGTGTTGATATTGGCCATGTCAGTGCCACAGAGCTTTTTCTTAGCCTGTTTGATCTGGTATTTGTTGGCCTTGACATCCACAGTGAACACAAGAATGTTGTTGACTTTCTGTTCTTTTCATGGCTGACTCAGTGGTCAGGGGAAACTTGATAGCATAGTGGTCAAGCTGGTTTCTCCTGGACTGGACCAGTCTTCCAAGGATATTTGGGCTGCCTCCAGAACAGCAGCAGTGTTTTGGGCTGTCCTTAGGTGGGTGACGTGAAGATCTTCTCTTTTTTGTGTGGCTGTGGATACGGATACCTTTCAGCACTGCTGTTTTGGCCTTTAGAGCCTTTGGTTTGGCTTTGACGTTGGGAGAGCAGGGGCTTCCCTCTTTGCCTGTGATGCCTTCTTGATGAGTACAGCCATGTAACTTCTTTTATAGTTGTGTCTTTTTTTTTTTTTGGGACGTAGTCTCGCTCTGTTGTCCAGGCTGGAGTGCAGTGGCGTGATCTTGGCTCACCGCAACCTCCACCTCCCAGGTTCAAGCGATTCCCCTGCCTCAGCCTCCCGAGTAGCTGGGATTATAGGCACCCTCCACCATGCCTGGCTAATTTTTGTATTTTTAGTAGAGTCAGGGTTTCACTATATTGGCCAGGCTGATCTCGAACTCCTGACCTCCGGATCCGCCTGCCTTGGCCTCCCAAAGTGCTGGGATTACAGGCGTGAGCCTCCGTGCCTGGCCTTTTTTTTTTTTAAATTGAGATGGAGTCTTGCTTTGTCCCCCCGCAGGCTAGAGTGCAGTGGCATGATCTCGGCTCACTACAACCTCTGCCTCCCAGGTTCAAGCAATTCTCCTGCCTTAGCATCCCAAGTAGCTGGGATTACAGGCACGTGCCACCATGCCTGGCTAATTTTTGTATTATTATTAGAGACCAGGTTTTGCCATGTTGGCCAGGCCGGTCTCGAACTCTGGACCTCAAGTGATCTACCTGCCTTAGCCTCCCAAAGTGGTGGGATTACAGGCGTGAGCCACTATGCCCGGCCTATATCATTTTTTATCTTATGCTAAAAATGTTGGTTCCTAACAACATTAACATTATATTATACATATAACACATATTAGCTTTGAGATAACAATACCATAATGTAGTTTGAGATTCCTTTGTCTGTCTATTTACATCCTTAGGCTGTATTCCAGTAGGGATGTAAGCTCAGAATACTTTTTAAATGAAAATAAAATTTTATAAATTTTAATAAAAAATAATATTTTAAATAAATATTAATATTTAAGATACTTGAAATAATAATTCTCTGTGTATTTATGTCAGCAGTTGAAAATAGAACATTTACTTCAGTTTGGTTTTGGTTTCTAAGGAGTGCTGTTTTTTCCTTTTCAATTTTTTTGATGTAAAATATTTACATGGTTTCAAAATGTTGAGCATATTTTTAAAAAGATATGGCTGGGCACGGTGGCTTGCGCCTGTAACCCCAGCAATTTGGGAGGCTGAGGCGGGCGGATAACTTGAGGTCAGGAGTTCAAGACCAGCCTGGCCAACATGGTGAAACCCCGTCTCTACTAAAAATACAAAAAATCAGCCGGGTGTGGTAGCAAGCGCCTGTAATCCCAGCTGCTCAGGAGGCTTGAACCCCTGGGTTCAAGCGGGAGAATTGCTTGAACCCCTGGGTTCAAGCGGGAGAATTGCTTGAACCCCTGGGTTCAAGCGGGAGAATTGCTTGAACCCCTGGGTTCAAGCGGGAGAATTGCTTGAACCCCTGGGTTCAAGCGGGAGAATTGCTTGAACCCCTGGGTTCAAGCGGGAGAATTGCTTGAACCCCTGGGTTCAAGCGGGAGAATTGCTTGAACCCGGGAGGCGGAGGTTGCAGTGAGCCGAGATCACACCTCTGCACTCCAGCCTGGGTGACAGAGTAAGACTCTGTCTCAAAAAAAAAAAAAAAAAAATGCTGCTGGTTTGCATATCATTATTCTGCCCATATCCTATCAGTAACGAAAGAGGTATTATTTTACTGTATGTTTTTACTTAAAATTTAATTTATGCTTACATTAATTTTTAAAGGTTCAGATTTGAAAGTCCAGTGTCAATTTTCCAGGTGGCCAGGTGGTACTAGATGTCAGTAAATAGTTCTTGTTTATATATTGCGTTTTATAATTTTAAATATTTTACTGGGTTTTGGACATATTGTATGTCAATAGAAGGCAACTGGAACTCTAATTTTAGAAACTAAGATTATGATATTTGTAGATGATCAGTTTTACTCCTTGTAGTCCACCCCCTCCAATTACTTAATAACTATTTTAAGATGTTTTACAGTCTAATATACTGAAATTTCTGACATAAAGTCAGACTTCCAGATTACATTGCTTAAATTTGCCAAACTAGGCATTTTTCTGGTGGAGGAGAAAGGAATCTTTTCCTAAAAGTCTGGTATATATATATTTTTTGCTTAATGCCTAGTTACCATGGAAATAGATGTTAGAATCAGCTCTTAAGTAGGTAGGTAGTGACAAACTGGCTGTATTGCTGAATTGAGTTGCTAGACTGTATTTGGCCCTTTCCTGCTTTCATCTTTCCACCTTCTCTTTCATCATTTTTTTTTTTTGGTTTATGTGCTTTTTAGAATATTCTATATAGTTAAATCCAAACTTGACTTAACCTAGGTTTGAGCAACAATTTGCTTTTGCTTACAATTTATACTATCTATAGGTAGACATTTTACCTCATATTTACATATGTATAGTATAAGTAGATAATTGTACTGACTTGGCACATCAGCTGTTAATGCTTTTAAGAAAAGGTCTGGAAAGACCTGTAACAAGTTAATAGTGATGGTCTCTAGCTGGTGACAGTATAGAAAATGTTTAATGTCTACTTTGTGAAGTTACAATGTTTGGTTTTTAAAATGAGCATGTACTACTTCATTATATAAAATTTTTTTACTTGTAGAAGTTTGTGTTAATGATCAGTATTTAAAATATAGTAAAAAATAAGAGAGGAAAAGTGGAAATCCTCTAGTAGCATATATTTTTTTGGCCTTAACTTTGACGTTTGTGTGATGTTGATCTTTAGTTACTGCGCTTCGGTACTGAGGATAGCAGCACCTATGTCATAGTGTTGCTGAGATGAAATGAGATTACTAAAGCATAATGCTTGGCACAAGGGGAGCAGTTAATAAAATAGGAGCTCTGGTTTTTGTGGATCTTAGATTTGCTGCCCTGTAGGTTTTGGGAAGGAGTAGTCTGGCTCTACAGGAATGAGGAATGTATTGTGGAGTCTTAGAAGAGCTATCTACGTATTCATTTGAATCCACAACCTTCCCTCGGAGCTTTCTTCTTGACTATGTAGTTCTACTTTAGCTTTTCTCTTCTGTCAGTATATTTCTAGTCATTTCCAGTTTTCTGCTCAGCAGAGACTTTGGGGTCCATGTTGTACCTGTTCTGTTACTGTTACATAAAAGTAGATCTATAAATTTATCTTGTTAGTAATCAAAAAAGTTAAAGTTCAAGTTTTATGCATATTCTGGATGAGTTTTACCTTACCCAACCTTTAATTTGGTCATGTGATTGAAAAAAAGATTTTTTAGGGGTTCCTTTTCCTATCACTGTAGATGGAAAATTTGGAATTTTTTTTTTTTTTTTTGAGACACAGTCTCACCCTGTCCCTCAGGCTGGAGTGCAGTGGCATGATCTCAACTCACTGCAGCCTCTGCCTCCCGGGTTCAAGCGTTCCTCCTGCCTCAGCCTCCCAAGTAGCTGGGATTACAGGCATGAGCCACCACAACTGGCTACTTTTGTTGTATTTTTAGTAGAGATGGGGTTTCACCATGTTGGACAGGCTGTTCTTGAACACCTGACCTCAAATGATCCACCTGCCTTGGCCTCCCAAAGTGCTGGGATTACAGGCGTGAGCCACTGCACCCAGCCAAAACTTGGAATTTCTAAGAGCCTTTATTAATTTGTAAATCAGTAACATTGGAATTGAATATTTGAAACTGGAACTGTCCCCAGAATATTGAGGATGCAAAGTTTCTGTAGGCACAATTCTTCACAAAGGCAGACTCTTGGGGACAATCAGGATGATTGCAAAATCATATGAAATATAATATGTAACGAAATGAAGAAGCAAACAACTTACATTATAAGTTGTATCTGTATTATTAAAGTCCAAATATCCTAGTTTAATTTTTTGAATATTCAAACATATGGCTGAAAAGTTTTAAAAAATACTTATAAAAGAATATAGTAAAAACCCTTTCATCCTACCTTTTACCTCCAATTGTTAAATTTCCCTTCTTTCTGTACAGTCATTGTTTTTGTGTATTGTTTCCACACGTAGAAAGGCAAACACAAGTTTGCCGTCTTACTTCCCTATCTCTCCTACCCTTTACTTTCAGCTTGTAAATTACACACACTGTTCTGCACTTTTAAATTTTGTCACTTAACACATCTGGGAGATGTTTGTGTTATTATTACATAGAGATCCCCTCATTTGTGGGTGTTTTTTTGTTTGTTTTGTTTTTGTTTTTTTAAGACAGTCTTGCTATGTCACCCGGGCTATTTTTTAGTATTTTTTGTATTTTTTAGTAGAGACGGGGTTTGGCCACGTTGGCCAGGCCAGTCTCAAATTCCTGGCCTCAAGTGATCTGCCCACCTCGGCCTCCCAAAGTGCTGGAATTAACAGGTATGAGCCACCACGCCTAGCCTTGTGTGTTCTTATTAACAACTTTTATTGAGGTATAACTTGCACACCAAAAAAATTAAACCATTCTAAGTGTAAAAATCAAGGAATTTTAGATTCATTTTTAATTAAAAATTTATTTTATTTATTTATTTATTTATTATTTTTTTGAGACAGAGTCTTGCTCTGTTGCCCAGGCTGGAGTGCAGTGGTGCGATCTCAGCTCACCGCAACCTCTGCCTCCCAAGTTCACGCCATTCTCCTGCCTCATCCTTCCGAGGTAGCTGGGACTACAGGCACCCGCCACCATGCCCAGCTAATTTATTTTTAATTTTTTTTATTTTTAGTAGAGACGGGGTTTCAACGTGTTAGCCAGGGTGGTCTTGATCTCCTGACCTGGTGATCTGCCCACCTCCGCATCCCAAAGTGCTGGAATTATAGGCGTGAGCCACCACGCCTGGCCTATTTTCTTCTTTTAGAAACAAATTGTTACTCTGTCACACAGGCAGGAGTGCAGTAGCACTATCATAGTTCAGTGTTAACCTCAAACTCCTGGGCTCAAGCAATCTTCCAACCTCAGCCTCCTGAACAGGTGGGACTGCAGGTGTGTGCTACCATGCCCAGCTAATTAAAACAAATTTGTTTGTACAGACACGGTAGCACTATGTTGCCTAGGCTGTTCTTGAACACCTCCTCTCAAGAGATACTGCCACTTGGCCTCCTGAAGCTCTGGGATTACAGGCGTAAGCCTCCACACCTGGCTGTTATGGAATTTTTGTAAATGTCTAGGGTTGTTCACCCATCACCACAGTCCAGTTTAAGAATATTTTTGTAATCCTTAAAAAGTTGTCTCCCCGTCTCTGGTCTTTCATGCCCATGTCCAGCTGCAAACAACCAGTTTCCTCAATTGTTTTTGCAGTTCTGTATAGGACAGATGTATAAGATTTACGATGTAACATAATTTATTTAGCCACACCCCTATTTTTGGACATTTAGGTTGTTTTTGACCTTTTGCTTTTACAAACAGGTCTGAGATGAGGTAACTTTGTACATATATTATTTCATACATCTGTAAGAGTATCTGTAGGATTAATTCCTAAGAGTAGGGTTACTGATTAAAGCACATGTGCTTTTTTTTTTTTTTGGTGATGGAATCTCATTCTGTCGTCCAGGTTGGCGTCATCTTGGCTCACTGCAACCTCTGCCTCCCTGGTTCAAGCAGTTCTCCTGCCTCAGCCTCTGGAGTAGCTGGGATTACAGGCATGCACCACCATGCCCCGCTAAGTTTTGTATTTTTAGTGGAGACAGGTGTCACCATGTTGGCCAAGTTGGTCTTGAACTCCTGACCTCAAGTGATCTGCCCGGCCTGCATTTTTTATTTCTATAATCGTTTCCCGTTCAGGTTATACAGATTTACATTCTCAGCAGCAATATGAAGGCTAACATTTTCCCATAACTTACCTGCCGTGTACATTACTAGACTTCTGAATTTCTGAATTTTTGCCAATCTGATAGTGAAAAATGGTGTGGGTTTTTTTTTTTTAGAGATAGAGTCTCACTATATCGTCCAGGCTGGAGGGAGTGTAGTGGCATGATAGGGGCACACTGCAACCTCTGTCTCCCAGGTTCAAGCAGTTCTTCTGCCTCAGCCTCCCAAGTAGTTGAAACTATGGATGCGTGCGAAAAATTGTGTTTTGAATTGTTTTTATTTAGTAGGTTTTACATCGAATTTATGAATGAGTATGAGCATCTTTTCAAGTGTTGAGTCCATTGTAATTCTTTTTATATGAAATATCCTTTTATGTCATATGCCCATTTTTCTGTTGAATGGTTGGCTTTTTTTTTTTTTTTTGAGGCAGAATCTCCTTCCTGTCCCCCAGGCTGGAGTGCAGTGGTCCAATAACGGCTTACTGCAGCCTTGAACCTCCCAGGCTCAAGTGATCCTCCCACCTCAACCTCCTGAGTACCTGGGGCTACAGGCACATGCTACCATGCTGGCTAATTTTTAAATTTTTTAATAGAGATAAGGCCTCACTATGTTGTCCAGGCTGGTCTCGAACTCCTGGGCTCAAGCACCTCACCTACCTCGGCCTCCCAGTGTTGGGACTATAGGAGTGAACCACTTTGCCTGGCCTGAATGGTTGGTCTCTAAAAAAAATTACTGATTTTAGATGTTCTTTATGTATGAGAGTCAAGCTCTTTAGTGATGTGAATTATAAATAACTTTTTGTAGAGTTTGTCATTTATATTTTGATATATTTGCTTTGTGTATTTTTTTGCCATTGAGCAATTTTTTAATGGTTAAATTTATCAATATTTTATAGCTCCCAAACTTTGAGTTAATTTACTGTTTGAAGTAAGTCATACATTGAATTCCCTTCCAGGATCATAATTTATTATGTCACTTTGAATTTAGCTGGACTTTTGGCCAGACCTACTGACTTGCATCTGTGATGAATAACTTTGAATATATGTTATCTCACACATGTGCAAGTATAGCTATTGGATGAATTTGGCCATTTATTCCTGGGGCCAGGGTTGTGTGTTTTTAATTTTGGTAATTATTGTTGAATAAATGGATCTTTCAAGACTGTTAAGATATTGCATTGCTAATAACTGGTGCAGAAATTAATGGTGATTTCTGTTCAAGATGCCAGATTGTTAAACTCCTCTAGGATTAGAAAAGTTTTGGTTGAAAATAGAACACTTAACTGTAACTAAGAGTCTTCTTTTTTCATTATGTGTTGGCCTTTAAGGCACCAGAATTATACTTCAGAAATTCCTTGGGAGAATTTGGGTTATGTCTTAAAATAAAAAATGTTCATGTTCTTTGTGCTCCCTTTTGATACCTACCCAGAAGCAGCCCATGTACAGGTGCACAAGGAAGCTGGCATGAATATGTTTGTGGCTGCCCTCTTTAATAGGGAAAAACAGAAAACCACTTAATATCACCAGTAGAGGACAAGCTAAATAACCATGGCAAATTCCTACAATGGTTATAGCACAAAATTAATTCGACAGTTTGTGTTTACTGATGTAGAAAGATCTCTAAAACATTTTTTGAATGAAAGAAAAGTTGAAAGACAGTATATTAAATGTAGTACCAGTTATGTAAAAATAGATTCACAGAAATGTTATTAAATATGGATACATGTACGTGTATGTAAGTGAAGGTCTGGAAAAAACCTGGAAGAACATATGCCAAAATGAGAATAGTGATTATTAATGGGAATTGAGTGTAGTAATTTAGGACTTACTTTTTTTTTTTTGAAATGGAGTCTCACTCTGTTTTTCAGGCTGGAGTGCAGTGGTGCAATCTCAGCTTACTGCAATCTCCGTCTCCTGAGTTCAAGCAGTTCTGCCTCAGCCTCCTGAGTAGCTGTGACTACAGGTGCCCACCACCACGCCTGGCTAATTTTTATATTTCTTTAATAGAGAAGGGGTTTCGCCATGTTGGCCAGCCTGGTCTTGAGAAATTCCTGACTTCAGGTGATCCACCCGCCTTGGCCTCCCAAAGTGCTGGGATTACAGGCATGAGCCACTGCGCCCAGCCACATTAATGTTTTATTATTTTTACAAGGATAATATGCTCATAGACTGTACAACTAAAGGCCAATTTAAAATTTATTTGGAAAAAATACATTGTTTTGTACATAGGTCCCTGTAAAGGCAGAGTAAGACTGGAAAAATACCCTAAATAAGGAGACAGTAGTTATGTCCCCGAGGGATGTGGGAACAGAGAAGATAAAAGGAGACATTTGCTTTTTGTATACTTCTGTATTTTTATAGTTTTATAAAGCAAATGAATTCATGCATTAATTTGTATGCTGAAGAAAGGACTAAATTCTTTAGGACCAGGAATTCATGTAAGAGTATCTCATTTTGTCAAGCTTATTTAACAGTACTTAGTGAAAATAGTAGCTGCCGGTTGAATTACTGGGTAGAGAATAAAGGTGTCAACAGAAATAGTTTACTAATTTGCTGATAATTAGGCATTAATTTGCTTGATGTGATGCATGTTTATTACTTTAGGGCAAGTAGAAAAATAAAAATAAGTAGATTCTTTCTCATATACCATCATGAACACTGGTAGTTTCTGGTACATTCAAGACAGAACACACAATGAGACTGTTCTTGCCCTGTAGCCTCACCTGGAATTTCCTTTTGTCTTCTGCTTTGTTACTACAACCTCCCCTGCAGTTTGGGTGTCTCTCTAGTTCTCTTTTCTTTGTTTAGTAGTCTGGGATCAGATCTGCTCTTCTGAAATAGAAGTCAGCAGTGAGGAGAAAAAAGGTAAAAAAAAAAAATTTATTTTTTCTGAGACAGAGTCTTACTCTGTCGTCCAGGCTGGAGTGCAGTGGCACGATCTTGGCTCACTCCAGCCTCCGCCTCTTGGGTTCAAGCAATTCTCCTCCCTCAGCCTCCTGAGTGTCTGGGACTACAGGCACCTGCCACCACGCCCGGCTAATTTTGCATTTTTAGTAGAGACAGGGTTTCACCGTGTTAGCCAGGCTGGTCTCTAACTCCTGACCTCAAATGATTCACCCACCTCACCCTCCCAAAGTGCTGGGATTACAGGCGTGAGCCACAGTGCCTGGCCAAAAGGTAAAATTTTTAATCCCTTTATTCAGTTAGTCACTAAATGTGAGAATGTCTTTACCCAGTTCTTCTCTCTCCATCCCAGCATTAGTGCAAGCCATTGTATCTCATTCTAGATTATGGTAGCAGATTCCTAACTGATCTGTCTGATTCAGCCTTGTATTTGTACATTGGTATCTGTTTTTCACATTGCAGCCACAGTGATCTAAGACATCAGATAATGTAACTCTTGCTCATAAAACTTTGTAGTAGTTCTTCTCCTGTTGCTATCAGGCCTTGCTTCTCCAGAACTCTGGCTATGGTCATTAATAATTGCAGCTTTCTATATTGTCTACTTTCCTCATGCACTATAGCTCTTCTCCAGAATCTATATTGTTTCTCATTTCAACCCATCAGAATTCTTTTACTAGATTACCAGTCATCCTTCAGGTATCCTTCTCTGAGATCCTAAGATAGATTTACGTCCTTCTTCGTGCTCCTCTTGTGCAGAATCTGACCATAGTAGTTAACTTCATATGGTAACTTAACTGTTTAACAGATTCCTCCACTACACTCCATGAAAACAAAGACTGAGTTTTAAATCAAGTCTCTGGTTCCTAACCAGCACCTGATACATTATAGGCTTTAGTTTAAATGTATGAATAAGCCTGGGTGCGATGGCTCATGCCTGTAATCCCAGCACTTTGGGAGGCCAAGGTGGGAGGATCACTTGAGTCCAGGAGTTTGAGACCAGCCTGGGTAACATAGTGAGACCCTGTCTCTACAAATTATCAAAAATTAGCTGGGCATTGTGGTACATGCCTGTAGTTCTAGCTACTTGGGAGGCTGAAACAGGCTAATTGCTTGAGCCCAGGAAGTCAAGGCTGCAGTGAGCCACAGAGCTCAGCTTGAATAACAGAGGGAGACCCTATCTCAAAACAAAACAAAACAAAACCCAAAAGCCAGAAACAAATGTGTGAATGAGCGTTAACTCAGTCATTTTTTCTCTCATATCATTTTTTTCTCTTGTTCTTTCCCTACCTAGTAATTAATAGGTTGTGGCTCAGTTTGAAAAACACTTGTGTAAGGAATCCTGATTTACTAGTTAGAACTCTCAGAATGAGAACTCTCTGCCAGATCTCTAAATATTTAGTAATTTTTTATTCTGTTGTTAATGGTATTTTAAAAATTCAATTTCTGATTGTTGCTAATGTATAGGAATCCTATTGACTTCTCTATATTGTGTATCCTGTGATCTTGCTAAAACCACCTATTGGTTACAGCAGGATTTTTGTAGATTCCTTTGGATTTCCTTGGTAGCGGATCATGTTGTCAGTAAAGGCAGCTACTATTCTTCATGTCCAATTCAAATATCTTTTCTTTCTTGATTGCATTGGCTCTCCAAAACAATGCAGAATAGAAGTGGTGAGGTGGATATCCCTGTCTTGTTCTTAATTGTAGGGAAAAGCATTCAGTCTTTCACCGTTAAGTATAATGTTAGTTGCAGATTTTTCATGGATGCCTTTTGTCCGATTGAGGAAGTTTCATTCTGTTCCTAGTTTGCTGAGAGATTACATCAGGAGTGGCTTATGGATTTTGTATTAATAAAATGCATTTTCTGGATATATTGAGGTAATCTGTTTTTAAAGTTTGTTGATACGTTAATTACACTCATTGACTTCTGAATTTTAGAACAATCCTCCATTTCTACAATAAATGCACTTGGTCATGATATATTACCTTTTAGAACATATTGTTGGATTCTACATGCTAGAATTTTATTTAGAATTTTTGGGCTGGGCGTGATGGCTCACACCTCTAATCCCAGCACTTTGGGTTGGCTTAAGTCCAGGAGTCTAAGACTAGCCTAGGCAACATGACAAAACCCTGTCTCTGCAGAAAATAAATTTTAAAAAAAGTCAGCTGGGTTTGGTGGTCTGCACCTGTAGGTCCCAGCTACTTGGGAGGCTTGGGAGGCTGAGGTGGGAGGATCACTTGACTTCAGGAGTTGGAGGTTGCAGTGAGCCAAGATGGCACCACTGAACTGCAGCCTGGGTGATAGAACAAGACCCTGTCTCCAAAAAAAAAATATATATATATTGTTTGCATTTTTGCTCATGAGGGATATTGGTCTGTAGAGATGTGGTTTTGCTATGTTGCCCAGGCTGGTCTTGAGCTCCTGGCCTCAAGCAGTCCTCTCCTCTCAGCCTCCCAAAGTGTTGGGATTATAGGCATGAGCCACCATGTCCAGCCTCTAGTTTTATTTTCTCATAATGTCATTATATATCAGAATAATGCTGGCTTTGTAGAATGAGTTGGGAATAATTCCAAATTTTAATTTTAGAGATGGTATCTTGTTATGTTGCATAGGCTGTTCTGGAACTCATGGGCCCAAGGGATCCTCTCACGTTAGCTTTCCAAGTAGCTGGGATTATAGCCATGAGCCACTGTGCCCAGCAATTTTTATTTGAAATACTAGGTCATAATCACATTATGGTTTTAAAGATCACTTGTAATAGAAAAAGCTAGTGAAGTATATGTAATTAAATTTCTCTGATCAATTCATCACATTGCATCATCAATTTTATAGGATACTTGGAGAGCAGATAATTTAGGCCTTGAAGAATTTTTTTTCCCCCAGAGACGGAGTCTCGCTCTGTCGCTGAGGCTGGAGTGCAGTGGCATAATCTTGGCTCACTGCAGCATCTGCCTCCCAGGTTCAAGCGATTCTTCTGCCTCAGCCTCCCGAATAGCTGAGATTACAGGTGCCTGCCACCACGTCCAGCTAATTTTTGTATGTTTAGTAGAGATGGGGTTTCACATGTTGGCCAGGCTGGTGTCGAACTCCGACCTTCAGTGATCTGCCTGTCTAGGCCTTCCAAAGTGGTGGGATTACAGGCGTGAGCCACTGTGCCGGCCTGGCCTTGAAGAATTAATGTTGATTTGTTTTAAATGTAGAATGAGGCTGGGCGTGGTGGTTCAGACCTGTAATCCTAACACTTTGGGAGGCCGAGGCAGGCGGATCACTTGAGGCCGGGAGTTTGAGACCAGTCTGGCCAACATATCGAAACCCCGTCTCTACTAAAATAAAAAAAAAATTAGCAGGGTGTGGTGGCGCATGTCTGTAATCCCAGCTACTCGGGAGGCTGAGGCATGAGAATCGCTTGAACTGGGAGGCGGAGGTTGCAGTGAGCCGCGATTGCACCATTGCACTCCAGCTGGAGCAAGACTGTCTTGGAGAGCGAGACTGTCTCAATAAATAAGTAAATAAAGGATTGGTTTCATTTTCTTTAGGGTCTAAGTTAACTTTTTCTTAAAAGTATCAGCAAGAAATCTTAAAATTGACTGTCTTAAGTAAATGTTAAATAATAGTACTTAATATTAATAATTTTATAATTTAATAATGAACATAAAGCATTTTATTTGATTTTAACATTTTCTGGTTATTAAAAAACTCATGGTAGAAAGTATGGAAAATCCAGAAAATCAGGTAGGAAAAAGATCACTCGTAATTCAGACGTTACAGAGGTAACTACTATTAACATTTTAGTATATACTTTCAAATCTTTACCTGTGTATTTCTTAAAACATAGTTTGTAATCATCTTTTTTCAACATTTTAAACATTAGCTTCTGAATTAGTAGGTAAGTTTATGTTGGTTACAGATAGGTTTTTTTAAGAGGGTGTTAAGTTGTTACTACCTGATAAGGCAGTTATGGTATGACATCTGGATTTAAGCTCTTTTTCCTGCCTCTAGTGAATTATGTCCTTAAAATCACTTAAAGCTCCACCTCTCTTTGCTCTTTTATACCAGTGGGTAATAATACTTTTTTATTTATCTACATAATTGTTTTTGTGATGAAAATGAATGTGTTTTAAAAGATACATAAAACTTCTTATTTTGTTATAAAATGAAGTAGTATCGGCCAGGTGCGGTGGCTCACGCCTGTAATCCCAGCACTTTGGGAGGCCAAGGCAGGTGGATCACAATAGGAGTCGAGACCATCCTGGCTAACACGGTGAAACCCCGTCTCTACTAAAAATACAAAAAATTAGCCAGGTGTGGTGGCAGGCGCCTGTAGTCCCAACTACTCGGGAGGCTGAGGCAGGAGAATGGCGTGAACCCGGTAGGCGGAGGTTGCAGTGAGCCGAGATCGTGCCACTGCACTCCAGCCTGGGTGACAGAGACTCCGTCTCAAAAAAATAAATAAATAAATAAATAAAATTAAATAGTATGTAATGTAAATATTTCCATGTCTGGTTAAATTTGGTTGTCTTTAAGTATTCCTGTTTTCTCTTTCTCTAATTTTTCTGAAAATTCAGGGTACAATAGGAGTTCTTAAACTTTTTTGGGTCTGTCGAAAGTACAGGCTTTATTGTGTAGATATATCATCTCTGAAAATTCTTGTAGGGTCTTCAGAAATCCACAGAAACAGTGTTATGGTTTCCAGGTTAAAATTTTCCATATTTATAATAGTTTTCACCCATTGTCCATGGCACCTTGGTTTACCTACTTGTGCTTCCAAAAGTTTGACACACTCATACAACTAATTTTCGCATTCACTAAATTTGCATTGACTGTTATCCCAAAGCCTACCAAAAAGAAGGTTGCTTTGCGTTGATTATATCCTGTGAAGTAGCCTTGAGCAGCAAATATTACTTTTTGTAAGTTAGAGACAGCGCTGAGGAATAAAATCAATGCATTTCTCAAGTAGATCTTGGGTTTCTGAGACCATGTAAAAACTTTGAATCCTGAGGATATAATTAAACAAAACTGTAAACAGTTTTCATAAGTATCACAGGGCTAAGGGATGAGCAAGTGATACTAGGTTAACCAGGACTCCCTGAAGACATTGTTAGATTATATGCTTTAGGAGTGATTGTGTTTTTGATGATTTTCAATTCCTTCAAATATGCCACTATATTCTAGTATTTCACTGTTTTTATTTCATAGCAGAGTCCCCTTCTGAATCATGGTGTATATTCATGATGTATGTTCCTAGGCTAGTATTTTACCCAAAATAGGAAAGTTTTAGAGATCATTTTGTATCTGAAAAGTATTCCCTTATTTATAATGTTGATATCTAATATAAGTAATGTGATAATTTCTTTTAATTTTTGTATTTCTGATTTTTTCAGCATTTCTTATTGGTCTTCTGAATTGTATAAAGAACAGGTTTTTAAAAATACATTCACCAGCCTCCCTAAGAATTGCATGAGAGTACCTCTTACCACTGTTAAATAAATAACTCCTGCTCCCTTTGTTTTTTGTTTTTGTTTTTGTTTTTCTGAGGCAGGCTGTTGGTCTGTCACTCAGGCTGGAGTGCAGAGGCATGATAACAACTCACTGCAGGCTTGATCTCCTGGGCTCAAATGATCCTTCTACCTCAGCCTCCACCACGAGTAGCTGGGGCCACAGGCATGGGCTACCACGCTCAGCTGTTTTTTTGAGACGGAATGTCGCTCTGTTGCCCAGGCTGGAGTGCAGTGGCATGATCTTGGCTCACTGCAACCTCTGCCTCTTGGGTTCAATCGATTCTTGTGCCTCAGCCTCCCGTGTAGCTGGGACTACAAGCATGCACCACCACGCCCAGCTGATTTTTGCATTTTTAGTAGAGACAGGGTTTCACCACGTTGGCCAGGCTAGTCTTGAACTCCTTACCTCAGGTGAGCCACCCGCCTCAGCCTCCCAAAGTGCTGAGATTACAGGTATGAGCCACTGTGCCCGGCCTTTATTTTTGTTTTTAACAGAGGCAGTTTCCCTATGTTGCCCAGGCTGGTTTTGAACTGGGCTCAAGTGATCCACCCGCCTTGGCCTCCCAAAGTGCTGAGATTATAGGCTGAGCCATCGCACCCAACCCTCCTGCTCACTTTAAAGCATGCTGTATAGAGTTGTCCTGGTGAGAAGCCACCTTGATGGCAAGCTTGTAAGCTGTAGAGTTGGTGAGTGTTTACTTAGGACTCACATTTGAAACCGCTTTTTTTTTTCTGTTATCTTTTAATATGTAAAATAATAATCAGAAGTTACTCAGGACTCTTTTTTTTTCGTTTTTATACATATGATTTAATTTTTGAACTGAGAATTAGCGCTCACCCAATATTAAGAATTTCTTTCAAAAAACGTGCTCGGGTCAACACAAGGCCTCTCTGTACATTATCCTTCCGAAACCATGGTTTCTTTGCTTGCACCTTTATCCCCACTGCCTTGCCAGTCCTTCCCGCCAGCAGGACTGGAAGCCTGGCGACTCCCTAGGTCACAGGGTTTTCCTTGCCATAACCAAGTGGGCTCTGCGCGTGGCTGATGGCAGCCCCACCCTGCGCCCCTGCTGTTAGGCACCGAGCAAGGAGGGGCCCCTGGCTGTTCTTCGCCTGGGCACTGGTGTGCTTTCGGCGATCCTGGCCACCTGCCCACCTGAAGCTGCCATCTTGGGTTCTGGCAGGAGCCGTTTGCGTGGCGAGGAGCGGAGAGGCAGGAACCCAGTGAGCTGCTCAGGACCTGAGTTGTGGGAGATCATGACTATTTCTTTGCGATGCTTCCCCAATATTCTTTAAGTCAATTTTGTTTGTCAAATAGCCTGATTTTAGTGATCGTCTCTTGTTAGAGCCTGCCCAGTATGTATTCCACCTTGTTTGTTAACAACATACCAATTTCCCTTGGATTGTCAGTGAAGGTGTCCTGTTCTTTACTGTACAAGAACTAAGCATGTGATTCAAATAAGGTTACTGGATATGTTAAAAAGAATAAGACAATGGAAATAAAATAATATTAAAATGTTTTATTTTATTAATGGGTGGAGTAAGAGTAATACAAATGTTTTAGACTTGAAGTTACTGTCAGTGTTTTTATCATTATATGACTGTCAAAGAGCTCATAATAGAATTAAGAGAATGTGTTGGATATTTCCAGCACCAGTGTTAGATTTGGTAATTCACAAGGTGCGCTCACAGGACTCAGTGTATTGTATTAGTCATGTTTACGGCTGCGATTTATTACAAGAGGATAGGAAGCATTATCAGCAAAAGGAAAAGATACATTGGGTAAAGTCTGGAGGAAACCAGGTGCAAATTTCTCCCGGTAGAGTTACACAAGACACACATAATTCCCCTAACCAAGAATTGTGACAACATGAAATGTTACAACCCGGGAAGCTCCTTAAAACTCAGCATCCAGGGTTTTTAGTGGGAGCTGTTCACATAGGTACTGCATGTCTGGCATATATCAAATTCTAGACTCTGATAATGAAAGCTTAAGCCATATTGTTTTAGACACAACCACCCACTCTTACCAGTTGGTGGTAGGAACCCTCCCTAAATCCAGGTTCCTGTGAGTTCTTAGCCAAGGGCCAGCTTTGCAAGCAGCCCTTTCTAAGGAAAGCCATCTCAGGTCTGCTGTTAACTTTTTTCTGCATAGAAGATTAGCTTTTTATTTACTAATTCTTTAGTTGTTTGCGTTGATTATTTTATCTCAATTGCTGATTTCTTTGCTAGAGTCCTCTCAATTTTTAAATAATGTATTATTTTAAATTGGTCTGCCTTTATGGCCGTATTTTATTTTGTGTGTATGTTACATTGTTTTCATTATCACTATCCTGATATCTTTCAGGTCTTTAATGACTTCTGAAATTTCCAAAATGGCTTTCAGATTTTGATTCCTACCAGAATACCTCATACTACGTGGTTCAGGAAACTAAATGGAGATTCTGTTAGTTTCTGAGCATATCTATTACAAATATCTACTTAAGACCTAGAGGAATAACCTCTGGGTCAGTGTTTCTCAGTCTTGCCGGGGGTGGGGGGTGCATCAGAGTGTCCTGGAGGGCTTGTTAAGACACAAAATGCTGTTTCCCTCCCGGAGAGTTTCTAATTCGGAATGTCTGGAGCGGTGCCTGGGAATTTGCATTTCTAACAAATTTCCAGGTGTTGGCTTGGCGCTGTATGCACTTTGCTGTAATCCCAGCACTTTGGGAGGCTGAGGTGGGTGGACCACTTCAGCCTGGGAGGTGGAGGCTGCAGTGAGTTAGGATTTCCAGCCTGGGTGACAGAGTGAGTGAGACCCTGTCTCAAAAAAACAAATTTTCAGATGTTGCTGATGGTGTTGGTCCTGGGAGCATACTTTGGGAACCACTTTTCTAGTTTATAATACAATCCACAAACTTATGTAAACAAGAAAAATGTAATCTGTAAAATTCCCATGTACAGGAATACCAAATACAGTGTGCCAAAAGTGGTAGGACAATTGAAGACTTCATTGTCAACCCTGCTGTGTTGTGCAGCTGCCACTTTTCCCTCAGAATGTGTGTGTTCACAAGGTGTGTTGCTTTTGTAGATCAACATAAGAAATACTTACTAGTAAAGTTTATTTCTTATCTGTTTTTAAGATAAGTAAATTAACAGTTCACTATTTTTTGTGTGTGCTCAGTTAATCTTCCTCATATCACCTGGAATTTATCATCTCCCTTGGGTAATCACAGTCTAGTAGATTCTCTCTTCACCATTTTCTTAGGGAAAATGGATTGGCAAGGGAAATGCTAGACTATTTTAAGGGATTTATTGGCTTTTCTGTCCCACTGGGAATGCTTATAGGAGGGGATGCCATGAAATGTTTTTCATGATCTCAGTGGGGATCAGAAAATTCCAGCAGAACGGAGGCTAGGTGGGCATGGTTAACACATTTAGGTAGGAGGGCATGTTTGATAATGAAATTCTGAAAATGTTTGCATGTGCATTGAGATCCCTAGGTAGATAAGTAACCTAGTAACTTATTTGATTGGTATAGTTTTTTAAAACTCCAGGTCTGATGATAATCTAATATAAACTATTCTATTGAATGCTTTGAAATTGAGTCTGTTTAGTTCTGAGAGGCCATTGAAAGAAGGCAAGACCGAGTATCCTGGAAGGCCTGTTACATACCCCTGTATGTAGCATGGCCCTTTCTACTTGCCTTTGCTAATGATACTTTGTGTGTGTACATTTACTTAAATAGCTGTGCAGTGGGATAGGGGAATAATACTCAGGTTTTAAAATCTGATTTTGGCTCTGACTTAACCATTAATTACTGGTGACTCAAAAGAATACCACTGTGACCTACCAGTAAGAGTAGGTGCATATGGAGAGTCAGGAAATAGCATTTTGATAGAGTTTTGACTTAAATATGTTTCCTTACACTCATCTTGAAATTGTTTCTTATGGTCCTAAGTGAATAGTTGGAATAGATATCCTCAGCAACTAATAGAATCTCCATTTAGTGTGAGGTAGTATGGAAGGAATGGCCAAGAAAAGCCATTTAGTGCCACCATTAAAATCCTGAAAGATGCTGGGCAAGGTCATCAGGAGAAAAATGTAAAACAAAACCAATGAAACACACACACACACACACACACACACACACACACACACACACACACAATATAAGGCATTAAAAATGGTCTCATTTACATTATTATTATTATTTTTTTTTTTTTTTGAGACGGAGTCTCGCTGTCGCCCAGGCTGGAGTGCAGTGGCGGGATCTCGGCTCACTGCAAGCTCCGCCTCCCGGGTTCACGCCATTCTCCTGCCTCAGCCTCCCGAGTAGCTGGGATTACAGGCGTGCGCCACCATGCCAGGCTAATTTTGTATTTTTAGTAGAGACCGGGTTTCACTATGTTGGTCAGGCTGGTCTTGAACTTCTGACCTCAGGTGATCTACCCTTCTCAGCCTCCCATAGTGCTGGGATTACACTGCACCCAGCCTCTAAAATCTTTTTTAAATTTTAGAGAGAGAGTCTCTCTCTGCCACCCAAACTGAAGTGCAGTGGCACGATCATGTCTTGTTGCACCTTTGGCCTCCTGAGCTCAAGTGATCTTCTCACCTCAGCCCCCTGAATGGTTGGGACCATAGGCGTGTGCCACTGAGCCCAGATAATTTTTTTATTTTTTATAGAGCCATGTCTTCCTTTGTTGCTCAGGGTTTTTCTTGGCAAAAGCATATTGCCAGAACATATCTTTTTTTTTTTTTTTTCGGAGATGGTGTTTTGCTCCATCACCTAGGCTTGATTGCAGTGCACAATCTCGACTCACTGCAATCTCCACCTCCCGGGTTCAAGCGATTCTCCTGCCTCAGCCTCCCGAGTAGCTGGGATTACAGGCACCCGCTACCACTCCCAGCTAATTTTTTGTATTTTTAGTAGAGATGAGGTTTCACCATGTTGGCCAGGCTGGTCTCAAACTCCTGACTTCAGGTGATCCCCCCTGCTTCGGCCTCCCAAAGTGCTGGGATTATAGGCATGAGCCACCGCGCCTGGCCAACATCTCTTTTTTAAGAGAAATAACTTGTAATTTCTTTCTTTCCTTTTTTAAAGAGACAGGGTCTTGCTGTGTCTCCCAGACTGGAGTGCAGTGGTGTGATCATAGCTCAATACAGCCTTGAACTTCTGGGCTCAAGCAATCCTACTGCCTCAGCCTCACAAGTAGCTAGGACTACAGATGTGCACCACCATGACAATTAGTATTCTTGCTTTATTTTTTCTTTTTATTTGATAAGAAGTTTATAACTTTGAAAAATATGAGTAGAAATGTAAGAGTCTGTTGAAGATGTAAACTATTGTTTTTTAAAAAGTGTAAATATATTTTTAATAAGATTGTAGGGCCAGACGCATCTGGTAAGGGCTTAAAAGCTGATTTTTAAAAATTGATAGCCAGAGGTTATATCTTACTAATGTTTGCTAATGCTACTAATTAGCGTTAGTTTGCTAATGCTACTAATGTTATAATAATGATCTGATGACCTCAAATAGCTTTTCAAAAAAAAAATCTTTTTTTTTTTTTTTTTGCTTCGTATGTTCACATTTCATTATTTCTTACTGGTCAAGATTTTTTTTCTTTTTTTGAAAGTCTCTGTCTGTCACCTAGGCTGGAGTGCAATGGTGTGATCACAGCTTGCTGCAGCCTCTACTCCCCAGGCTCAAGTGATCCTTCTGCCTCAGCCCCCTCACTAGCTAGGAGCCACAGGTGTGTGCTACCACGCCTGGCTAAGTTTTTGATATTTTGTAGAGATGAGGTTTTGCCGTGTTGTCCCGGCTGGTCTTGAACTCCTGGGCTCAAGCAGTCCTCCCACCTTGGCCTTCCAGCGTGTTGGGATTACAGGCGTGAGCCACTGTGCCCAGCCCAGGATTTTTGTATATTTTGACAGTTTAGCTTAAAAATGTAAACTGGAATTGGTTTAATATTTGTCTAGATGTGATCTAAGTTCTGAATATCCCAGGGCATTGTGGGTGCTCAATTAATGTTTGTGGAATTGTAACTGTATTTGATATTATTTCTATTTTGATAATAGGCATCTGATGGGTTTAATTAAAGCTATTTTGGTTATGGGTAATAGAACCCATTTCAGGTGATGAAAAGCAGAAAAGAGAATCTATTATAAGGGTACAGAGCATCTCATGGTACCCAAAGAGGGGAACTCCAGTTTGGCTTGAGGAGGCAGTTGGAAAGCTAGCAGGAACTAAGGCTAGCTATTCTCTCAGTCACTCAGAGAACCCACAGTTTCTTATGTGCACTTTTTCCCCCTCTGCATCTGTTTTATTTCTTACTTCCTCTCAGCAGACTGGTTTTCTCTACTTCTCCCTGTGCATGCCAGAAAATGGCTACCATAGGCTGCATCACATCCTTTCTCTACCGGCTAATTGGTTAACCTAGCTTTAACTTCATAGCAGAGTAAAACCGATCGGCCCAGTTTGGATCAGGTGGCTAGCAGTCTAATGAATTACTTGTTGGCAAAGCATATTGCCAGAACATATCTCTTTGTTAAGAGAAATAACTTGTAATTGATACTTGTCATGTTAGTGACTTAGTCTTTGTAAAGCTGTGTGGGCTTCTTTGTCGTAAAAATTTGGTCATCTGTAAGATAGTTTGTCCTTATTTTACTTATTAAAATATGATTTGTTGGGTCCCTCATATGTGCATAGTCATTGAATAGGCAGAGCGGTCTGC